>NC_000002.12:30575876-30728626 GCF_000001405.40 Homo sapiens
GAGAAAAATTTTGCCCTGGGTTTATTATATACTATTTCTCTAACACTAGCCAGCTATAAAAATGCCTACTATTGTGAAAGGTAGGTCCAGGTTATAATTACTGCGTGTCTTATGGCACCATTAATAAAAAATTTTGAAAATATATGTTCTTTATTAGATGATTATCATTTTCATAGATGAGTGAAAATTATATACAGTTGTATTTTACTCATGCATAAGGCATGTCTGTGCCTAAATATTGGTGCCCTGTATAATGTTTAATATATTTTTTAAGAATGACACACTGAAAAATGCTGATAACTGTGACCTTTACAAAATGTGTTTATTTCAAAATTCAGAATTTTGGAAGCAGCTTTTGTGAGTAAAATTTGTGGAATTGCCTTTGAGTGATGACTTTCGGTAGACTTTACACTGACCATAAAGAATATTGTTACATACATTGAAATATTTTTGTCGGTTTCCCATTGGAGGGCAAAAGTGAGAGATAGAAAACAACTTCTGAAGGTGTGAGTAGCTGTGTCAATACTATTTACTCATTGTGTGGCAGATGGGCACTACATGTTTATGTACTTAGAATCTCGTTTGCAGTAAAATAGAGAAGATAAGTTTCAGTGAGTATGCAAAATGTATGTAACAATATACTTTACCTTCCTGTTCATATGAAAATCAAAATTCTCAGCAAAGGTGAGATTTTGACCTGAGTCTAAACCCTGTGGACCTTTGAATCCAGAAATTCATCTTAACAGGAGCTTATGCCTGCCTTTTGGTTTTATATAGTATGCAGTTTCATTGTGAATGTATATGCTTCTTTTTTGGGTTTGTCCAAAAAAGGTTTACCTTGTTTCTTCTTTATTGTTGACATGTGTCCATTTCATTATTTATAAAGTCTGTGCCTTTTCTTTTAGCTTTATAGATTTTTTCTTCCTAATTCAAAATATTCTGTCTGCATTTTTCTAATTATTAGAACCTTTTTTTGCATTTTTTCATAGTTGATATTTGTGTTGAGTATTGCAAAGTAATATTAAAACAGTACTCATTTGCTGGAGTATATGTGTGTACACATGCAAAACCAAATTCATATACCTCACTTGTAAAAAATATGAAACTAAATACAGAAATTGTTTACTTATTAATGTTGAAAATTATTTGCATAGCTCTCTAAATGAAAGTAGTTTTCTCCATTTTATTTTGCATAGATTATATTTTTATATGTTATATAAAATTATATTAATATATCATGTAATAATATTATATATATTTTGTCACATAGGCTCCCTATACATATCTGACTGCTAAAAAGCATGCAAACTCACCTTGTCATAGAATCTGGGCTGAGCAAAACTAGTCCAGGTTCATTTATCGTAAGTTGGCTACTCGGCACTGCATAAAGTGTAAGACGTTGAAAGAATGTCAGTAACTTCTAAATCAGCAGCCTTCCCCTAATGAAGTTATGTAGGAGAGTAAAGCTTAAGTGTTCTCAGTGGCTTTCACTCCCTCCACACAAGAGTATTGCATTCGGCCACATGGGGTAAATTCCAAGGATTATCCTACTTGGTAAGATTACTGATGTTGAGAATCTATCAGAAGTGCATATGTACACAAAATGCATATTTTTAAGTGTTTTATTTTGTGGTAATTAATAACTTAATCCACATAATTTCATTGTGGTTCACTCATCTCTTTTTCATAGGAAATGGTACTTAAAAGGGAAATTAAAATGAAACTGCTGATTTACATTTGTTTCTCAATTTTTGTTTTATGAAGTACCTTTTCCAGTGATAGTCTGATTTGATTATAATACACTAACAGACAGTAATCTACAATGTGTTGCATCTTTTCATTTTAATATTTTTCCTTGGGGAAAAAATCACTGTCTTTACTCTCTTGACAGCTAGCTTCATATTTGTGCTATTCTTCTTCTTCTTCTTCTTCTTTGTCTTTGACCATGGCCATTATCTCTGTTGTTCATGCTACCTGCCTGATTTTGATGGCCGAAATATTTTTCACTAAGAAATATCTGAGTATTGTTAAGTAAACATCTGTCTGTGATTCCTTATTATTTACTATATATAACATTTTTAAATAATCTACATACACTACATGGGTATTTGTAAACTTTTAAACACTTTGCCTTTTTGAAAGTGTGAGGCTGCCACACAATTTCTTAGACATTAAATGTGAGAAATTTATGTAGATAGTTGTTTGTCTTATCTCTAGGTTCACAGCCACTTTCTTTGAAGTGACAGATTTCCTCTCCAAAATCTTTGAGTGCTTTGGATTAATTTTGCATTGTATAAATGTAGTCTGAAAATAATTTGGGGTTCCATGTAGAAATTCTGATAACTTGTGAGACTGCATTACCAAAGTTTTAAATTCCTATTGTATATTCATAGTTTATTTATGACTTAGATCTTCCTTGTTTTGTCATAGAATTTTAAATGGCCTTTAGGAGAAGATAATAAGTGAAATGTGGCCCAGTGTGCCAAAGTCAGGTAATAAAGTATGTGTGTGCATAGGGCTTGAAGGGAAGGCATGTTAGCCAAGCTGAGGAAAGCTGCTCCTAGTCAAACATGAGCCTTAGCACTGATCTCCTTAGAAGTTAAGGCAAAACGGTCTTTCCTGTATTTTTCTCATTGCATTAAGTTCTTGGTGACTTACAGTGGTAATGAGCTAACTTAAAGTAGAAGAAGTGTTAGTCAGTGCCTTTTCTAGGCACAGTTGTCACTCATTGGTAGCAGATCTACGTTCAGTTAACCAGCACCTCTCAAAGCTAAAAAACAAATTCCTATTTTTGCGGACTGATCTTAGATGTCATTATTATAGAAGATCTACCAACTTGACCATGATATGTTTCAGAAGAGGAACTTCATACTGTTCCTTATGTGAGTACATGGAAATTACTCATAATCTGTAATCCATAGTGCCTAAAAAGAATTGAACACTTTTTTTCTAGCTTATAAGATTTACTTGTTTTCATTCACATTAGTGTCTTAATGACCACAACAAGTTCATAATGTTAAATCCAAATGAAGTTACCAAATAATTTACCAATTAATTTTAGTTATGGAAATTATTAATAACCTTTTGGATCAGTAAAAAGCATCTTTACCATGTTGGTTCCATTATTCATTCATTCATATTTATTTTTTATTTATTTACTTAAATTCATTAGAAAGGGTCTCTGTTGCCACGGCACCTGGCCTGTTCCTTTTGTAATTCAAGGAGACAGTAGCCATTCTTATATGCCTAGATTAGTTTTAATGAAGGCTTATATTTTAAAACTTTAGGGATGGACATTGGTAAGAACTGAAATTAAGAAAGACTTGACAGGAAATACTGTGACTTTTGTTTAGACTTGATAGATTAATAGAGTTTAGGCAAAGGAGAAACATGTTACGAGAAGCTTGCCCTGTACATATTATCTTTAAAGCTGTATACATTAAAGGTGTTTATATTTAAGTATTTTTAAGAAAATGTCTTTGTCGTAAATGCATATAATCTGAATCTTCTGTAAGTCCTATGTGTTGTAGTTAATATCATGTGATTAAGGCATACTAGTGACAGTATCAGAATAAAAATGTATAACAAACACATCCTTATGCATAAATTTGGGAGGTTAGTATATGATCCGGTGTCACAGAAACAGCATACAAGTGCAGAGTAGAAAACAGTTGTGGTGGCTGGCAGAGTAAGAGAATTTAGGGAATAGGACTTTGAATTTGATCTGGAGGAATGGCAGGATTTGAATTGGTAAAGAAATTGGGAGAGTGTAGTCAGGGTTACTCAGCAGTGGAGACCAGCCTTTTTATGTGGCAAGAACTAAGTTAGAGAAGTAGTCTTAGTTGTCATGAAGTCTCACTTCTAACAAACTGTATAGAAAAGAAAGGGAATTAGAAAGAGTGGGAACTGTGAAAGTTCTAGTATTTATGACTATAAATACTCCAAACCTGGTGAGTACATTGTTCCCTTCTTAGTATTCTAAGACAGTTTATTATCTTCCTAAGCAGTTTACTACTTGTTCTAAGATAAAATAAGACCTTTAGAATAAGGCTTTAGCATCATCATAGTTATCCCAAAATAGTATCTTATTTTGAGACTTCTGCATGAATTATGTTCAGTTAAAAGAGACTCAGTAAAAGTAATTATACCTCATGTTTTTTACAACTCCTTTGATCCATGAGCGAGGTATTTACAGACTATATGATGGCATATAGTAGGAAAAGACTGTGATTCATCCCAATTACAAAGATGTTTTCTAGGAAAGAAACTCTGGAGAAATGTCTGTGTCTTTACTAATGGTTTTGGGACTTAAACAAATAAATCTTGTCTTTTCTGTGTATGGTTGTAAATGGTCGTAATTTTATACTTGCAAATATCAATTTGATCTGAATCAAACTTTTCCAGCATAGTTGGCCTATTTGTAAGGTTGGATATCCACAGGCTGAAATGGATATATGCTGTCTAAGGTATCAGCGGTTTATCTGGATTTTAGGTACTAGTAACATCTTTGAACGTAAAATCTGAGAAGTATCCTTTGGGTGCAGCAACTATAATGTATTTGATGACCTTAGAGAGGGAATAGTTTCACAGGAACGAGGCAACAGGAGCCAAATGTAAGTGAAGAGTGATATAAGTGGAGATATGTAGTTTAGATGACTGCTACAGGGAGTTTCCTGATGAAGCGGAGAGGGCTGGGGTGTAGACAACAGAAAGGGGAAGCTGCCTCAAGGATGAATAGAAGAGTTTAGCATTTTTAAATGCTGAGAAGATTATGTAGAAGAACAGCTGAACGTGAAAGGATTAACAATGGAGCAGTTTTCTGAGAAATCAGTAGAGGATAGGAGCAGAAATCAGGTTAAGAGGGACTCCTCATTTTGTAAGGCAGGAGGCAAGGTTCAGCTGAATATATATTTTTGTTTGACTTTATAAATACTCCAAGCCTGGTGAGTAAATCGTTCCCTTCTTAGTATTCTAAGAGAGTTTATTATCTTCCTAAGCAGTTTACTACTTGTTCTAAGATAAAATAAGACCTGTTGGCTTTAGCATCATCATAGTTACCCCAAAATAGTATCTTATGGTTGGGAGTAGGTGGTGAGAAGGTGAGGGATGCTTTGCTGGAAGGCCCTGTGCTCTCTGTCAGATCAGAGGTTAGGTAATCTGATGATGGTGGGGTTACAAGGGGATGGAGGTGATTAATCAGAGTTTGGAATAGTTGTTGTGGTAAATGAGAAAAGGAAGCTGACCAAAACCAAGTTAAGAGCATTGCTGAGCTCTCAAACCTCAGACTACAGAGCCAGTCTGGGCTCTTGCCTCTACTTAAGTTCCATCCAAAGTGGTGACTTGACATGCCTCACAGTGGCCCACTCCTTCCCACCACCTGCAGTACTCCCATCTCTTCTGCCTTTGATTAGATACCCCTGTTCCTTTATGCCTATCTCAGGAAGATCATTTCTTGATCTCTTCAGCTGGAAGTCCTGTCAGTCCCCCTCCAGTCTTCTACAACAGTTGAACCCATCTTAAGACTCACACAGTTTCTGGGTGATTAGGAAATTAGTATGTTGAAGAGACACCTGCACTTCCATGTTAATTGCAGCCCTACTAATAATAGCCAGGATATGTAGTCCACCTAAGTGTTCATAATCAGATGAATGGATAAAGAAAATTTGGTGTGTAAGTATATACAATGGCGTTCTATTCAGCCATAAAAAGAATGAAATCTCATCATTCCCAGCAACATGGATGACCCTGGAGCACATAATGTTGAGTAAAATAAACCAGGCACAGAAAGATAAATTCTGCATGGTCTCACTTATATGTGGAAGCTTTAAAAGTTGATCTCATAGGAGTAGAGAGTAGAATAGTGGTTACTAGAGGCTGGAAAAGTGAAGGGAAATAGCCAAAGGTTGGTTAATGGATACAACAGCACAGCTAGATAGGAAGAATAAATTATAGTGTTCTATAACACTGTGGGGTGACTATAATTTACAGTAATTGATTGTATACTTGTAAATAGCCAAAAGAGCAGCTTTTCAGTGTTCTCAACACAGGAAGTAAGTGTTTGAGGTAATGGATATGCCAGTTACTGATCTGATCATTACACATTGCATACATATCTTAAAATAGCACACTACCTCATAAATAGGTACAATTATTTGTCAATTAAAAATACTAAAAAGCAAGAATAATCACTTAATTAGAAAATATATTTTTTCCTCTATACTAGAGTGTAAGCTCCTTTGGGTCAAGGAGCTTCTAAAACCAAAGTAAAAGCATTGAATCAGTCAGTCTCTGTTTCTCCTTTTCCCCCTTTCCCCCTCTCCTCACCCCTGCCCCTGCCCCCCTCCCATGGCAATGGTGCTAAATTGTTCAATAAATATTGAATGAATATATTAATGAATGTAACAGATATACTTCAATCAAATTGTATATGAGATCAGTGAACTTCTACAGGAATATATTTGTCAGAATTCTTTATGAGGCTAATAACCCACAGGCACCACCTTGAAGAATATTATTTTATGAGGATATATAACTCCTCTTCACAATGGCAGTGATTGTATTTGTAGGTGATTATCCTAACTTGGTGGCTCAGGATATTTTGTATTTGGCTTATTTGCTCTCTCCTAGCTGTAAGGAGCTTATGCCAAGCACAATCTCTGTTGTCCAACTTTGCTTATTATGCAGCTTTTACAGCAACTTTTCTAATAGTTTGGATGTAAATGCCATAATGTATCATAAGCCCAGATTCCTTTTAAAAATTTCATCCCCATAGCCTTCCTTTTAAATTTTATTTTAGTTTATTTCTCACTCACTGACTCACCGTGCTATGTTGAGGGAACTTTGTGTACCAAGTGCAACATCATATTCTATTGGCCCTATAACGTTTGGCTAGGAGAGGAAAACTCAGGATGAAAACATCAAAGAGGCAGCAATTACAGAAAATGGGAATGTTAGATGTCACAGAGTATGATGGAATATGCCTGAGAATTCTCACCTTTTATGCAGCCTTAAGTTCCATTGGCTAATAGCTTGTAACATTTACATAAATTGAAGCAGATTGCTATTCTTTTATAAAGGTCATCCTCTTTTATGACTTCAGAACTTTTAATAATTCAGATCTTTGTATTCTGCTGACCATTTTTCTGCACTATAAACCAGTTCATTTTATTTTATACTCTAATTAGCTCTTTATTTAAAGTGTTTTTATTTAAAGTGTTGGCACACAAGTTTAAGATAAGCTAAATTAGCCAACACATATAACTAGCTATTGGGTATTAATCAAAAGGATGATAGTATGGCTTACTGTTAAAATAAAACTCAGTATTTAGATCTTAATTTGCAATTTGAGGAGCTAAACCAGAAGTTTCTCAGATGCATCTATTGCCTCTTTTGCTATCTTGGGAATAGAGATAGGTAGCAATTACAAGTCAAATTTCATTTCTGTAAACTTTAAGATCATGGGTTTCGTTGTTTCATTAAAGTGCCATCCAAAAATAGTGTTCTACATCACCACAATAGCAGTGTTGTCCTCTGGCTGCCATTGTCCTTACCCAAGGCCTAAAAAGCACATACTTGATTTTTTTTTCTGTTTCAGTATTTTAGTCCATCCACTTGTAAACAGATTTCCCACCACAACCCCCAATGCAGTTTCTGTCTGGCAAGATAATGCTGAAACATCATACTCTCACCTTGGGGAAGGGTGGTTGGAAAAGATAAAACCCTTAGCTTCCAGGTCCATCTGCTGAAATTGTCCGAATTTGGCCAGTGTATTATATTAAGTGATAGCAAATGGAGAGAAAAGAAGAAAATGAATCTTGACGAGTGAGCTGCCATCATTTCTGTGGCAGTCTTTACCAATACTGTTAAATTTCTACCCATTGGATTTTTCAGGCTTCTAATTATTGGTATGTATATTATATGTGGTGTTTGTGTAGCCACTCAGGATTTTAAATTTGCTTTGGTTTGGTTTTTTTCATGTTGAATTAGGTGGGAATGTTTGAAATAAACAAGAAGATAAGGGAAGGGCTCTTTTCTTTCCTTTTAAGTTCCAGGATACATATGCAGAACGTGCAGGTTTGTTACTTAGGGATACGTGTGCCAAAGTGGTTTGCCGCACCTGTTGACCCTTCCTCTAACTTCCCTCCCCTCGCCCCCCACCTCTCAGCAGGCCCTGGTGTGTGTTGTTCCCCTCCCTGTGTCCATGTGTTCTCATTGTTCAACTCCCACCTATGAGTGAGAACATGCAGTGTTTGTTTTTATTTCTATTTGTGGCCATCTTCTTGGATCCCGTCAGCCAAACTGGTCTTTTCTTTTTCTGAATCCGTGTAGCAGTTTAACTGTATGTCTATTAAGATTCCTCAGTGTTGTAGTTACATGCGTGAACCTCTCTTCTCTACCCTGTTAGCCTGTTGACTACCCTGTTCTTGCTTCCTTTTTTTACCCGCACTCAATGCATCTAGCCAAAAATAGCTTTGTTGTTGTTGCAGTTGTTCTTAACTGTTCTGGCTGGCTGAATCACATTTAGAATGGCTTTAATAATAAGGAAGGCTTCTTGTTGACTTTAATGAATTCATTCAAGATATAATGTGTATGGTAGGTACAGATGTCACAGTCTTAAAGAGGGTTAAAGAATATCACTGCTTTGTATGGTATAGAGCTTGATGGTGTATGGCCACACTCTGACAATATCCTGGAAGGTTCTCTGGATTTCTTGCTGTAATTCTTTCTAGTTTATTGTCTGTGTATAATTAGACAGTGCTTTCTAAGTAGCAAAACTTGGTTGTAGATACTGATGCAGCTTAGCAAAAAATGTTCTATGATGGCAGTTAGTCCAACTTTTATCTTCTTCAGGGCCATCAGGCCTCTGTAATAATTAGAATCCATAAAAACTGGCTATATTCTAGACTAATATAAAAGTTTTATGTTCTTCAGTGATGTCTCAAGCACATCATAAAGCATCAGTGATCTTTCCAACAATGTTCCTTTGTGCCGGTGATTTGGGTGATCGGAAAAGTTTGCCAGTGGAAGAACCACTTGCTGCCCTGATAAGGAACCAATATTACTATATTTCAAAAAAAAAAAAAAAAAAAAACCCTCTAGGCTTACCTAAAGGACATGAGTAGAGGTAAGGTTTTATATATCAGAGTGATGTTGTAGCCAAGTTACAGTCTCTATGGGGTAAATGAGAAATAATCTTGATCATCACGATGATGGGCTCATTTTTCAAACTACCTCTGTGTTGACCATGCTATCTGCCTTATTGCCTTCATTAAAACATAGCTGTCTCCTGACTCCATGCCTCTTCCTTGTTTCCCTCTCAAGCGCTGTTCATTTTCTCATATCTCACTACCATATAATGTTCTTAATTTACCTCTGATTTATCCATCCTCGGTAAAAAAAAATACCGAGTCAAAAAACATTTTTTTGAGCCTTTTGTCATCTAAATATAGCAACTTTTACCTCTCTCAGAAATCAGTCAACCCTTCACTACATCCTCTGCCTCAGCCTTCATTTCACTGGAGAGGGGAGACTTAGCACCTGGCTCAGTCTTCCATTCCCTCTCTAGTCTAGCCACATTCTTAGGTAAGTTCACCGTCTGCATGATAACTCATGCCAGTTCCATGATCTCCTCATTATTCACACTACTTCATAGTTTGGATCTTGTCTTCAGGAATTGCTCCACCTGTTAAACGTTAAATTGCAACATCTCACTCTCTAGGCTGTTTTTACTCTCATTAAGATCTCTCTTCCCTTAATACCCTTATGCTTTTTCCCTATCCATAATCATCCTTCTGTGTTCATGCTTTTCTCTCTTATCGGTTATACTCTGTGGTCCATTGTTTAAACCAAACTCTTGCTAGTATTTGAACACCTTATCCCTGTTGCTCTTGGGTGGCACACAGTCAGCAGAAGTGCATTCCTGGGTCTTGCCTGCTGCTTGCCTTCTCTATACCTGTACTAGCATTTAGCTCTGCTGGAGAAAATCCCCTAAACCATGCAGATTACTGCCAAATAAACTCTTGGTTGCTGTATTAATTTTCTAGGGCTGCTGTAACAAATTATCATAAACTAGGTTGCTTAAAACAGTAGGAATGGCCGGGCGTGGTGGCTCACGCCTGTAATTTGGGAAGCTGAGGCAGGCAGATCACGAGGTCCGGAGATCGAGACCATCCTGGCTAACACGTGAAACCCCATCTCTACTAAAAAAATACAAAAAAATTAGCCAGACGTGATGGTGGGCACCTGTAGTCCCAGCTACTCCAGAGGCTGAGGCAGGGGAATGGCGTCAACCCGGGAGGCGGAGCTTGCGAAGCCGAGATCGCGCCACTGCACTCCAGCCTGGGTGACAGAGCAAGACTCCGTCTCAAAAAAAAAAAAAAAAAAAAACCCAGTAGGAATTTATTCTCTCACAGTCTGTAAGCTAGAAACCTGAAATCAAGGTATTGGCAGAGCCACGCTCCCTCTGAAGGCTTTGGGGAAGAGTCCTTCCTTGCCTCTTCTTGGTTGCCATCAGTCTTAGGCATTCCTTGATTTATGGCAGCATGACTCCAGTCTTTATATGGCCTCCATCTTTGTATGGCCTTCTGCCCTGTGACTTCCCACTTCTTTTAAGGATACCACTCATGATACTCACCATAATCCACTATAACATCATTGTGACTTAACTAATTATTTAGAAATAGGTTCTTTGCAGATGTAAAGTCACATTCTGGGGTTCCAGTAAACATTAAATTGGGAGACACTCTTCAACACAGTACGGTTGCTGACTTCAATGCTGGCTGACCATTTTTCTGTTTCCCTAGTCAACCATTCCATTCTCTGCAGTAGCAATTTCAAGCCTCCTCTGCCCATCCTCAACATCTTGTCCCTGTGTCTCTTATCTTTAAGCTCTAACTTACCAATCCTTCCTTATTGTCAGCATTTAATATTGTTCAAATGTCTTTAGTCTTTAAAAAGGAAAAAAAGACTTAAAAAAAACCATGCAACTACACGGACACTTTTTATAACCCCCTCACCATGCACCCCTACTCCAAGCTTCTACACTACATCTTTCTTTGCTTCAGATATAAACTTCTTGGAAGAGCTGTTGATGAACTGTCATCACACCCTTATTCCCTAATAACTTCAAAACTTTTTGTGATCAGTCTTCTACCTCTTAGATTCCGCTAAACCTGAACACTCTCAAGTGACCACCTTGTGGTAAATCCCAGACCTTGTCCTTTCTTGCTCTGTCACTAACACTTGATCCTAATGGACACCCCCTTCCTCTAGAAACATTCTCTGCCTTGAGACCAGCTTAGGGAGAACTAGTGAAAAGGACAGAAGTAGAAGACTTCTGAGATCTCTTTTAATTCTAATATTTGATAATTTTCTGAGATTTCAAGAATCTTCTGTTCTCTTTTTTAATAGAACTTCTAGGCAATTTGTGGTTATTTAAACATGGTAGTTTTTTTTTTATGATGTTGAGACTGCGGGACGCAACATCTTTCTCATGCGGTTACTGTAATTTCAAAGGGATTATTTTTGGTAACTATTTGTTATTGTTAAATTTCTCAGAAATAGAAAAGCACTCTAGGGAAACTTTAAATAGACATGAGCGCTACTGAATTTAAAATCCTAAGATCTGAAGATACAGACTTTGATGCATTAAACTAGTCTTTTGAAGTTCTGAAGTCTGACAAGTCCTCTTGTAACATTATAAGGATTTTATGTTTATAAAAATAGGCTTATTATCTAATTTGATTTTTCAAAGACAACAGGATGGTGAAGTTGTAATATAAGAGAAAGAAGAAACTGAACATTGTAAAAGTTAAGCAAAACTTGAATTGTTTATAATTTCCTCTTTCCTAACAATATCTTTAGTATGAATAACTCATTTGTTTATGGTACCTTTTTTTTTTAAGAGCTGTCCTCTTAGACAAATAGTTGAACTCTATTGGAAGTAGAACAATTTGATTTTTATCCAAGATCAATGATTAAAAGATAATTGACCAGTCTTTAAGTGTTGTAGTAATTCCAAATGTCCCCAAGTCTTCCTAGCCTAAAGATACAGATGAGATTATAATAATACCAAAAAGTCCTATCTGGAAGCCTTCTTCAGCCTAGCTGCCAAACTTCAGCATCTCTCCCCAAATGTCCAACAATAATTTCCAAGTATTTCTGTCTCCTGAGCTCTGACCCTCTGGTAGAAGCCTTCCTTGCAAAATCCATGTGAGGAAGCCACCTTGATCAGGTCACCTCATAGCTGGCTGTATAGGCCAGAAACATTGCTTCGCTGCCTAGGGCATGGCTCTGTGTGCTCCTGACGTTTTCAACCCTCCAAGGGCCAAGTGGTTCTGGCCTCTCTCTGTCCTGAAGGAGATCCCTCCTGGGAAGCACTTCTTCACCTCCTTCAGCTTTTAATTCAAATCTTCTTTCTCTAGGACTCAGACCATATCCTTGGGGATAAACACCTTGCTCTCCTCTCCTGTCCTTTTTACCAGTTTCTGCTCATGTGGCTGTGCCCCCAAACATCCTTTTCAGAGGCTTCTTCCTCACTGCCATATCATTCATGCACATACATGGGGATGAGGAGAGTGGATGAAAATTTATACTGCAGATATTGTTAGAGCAGTTAGGAGCCAGAATTCCTAACCAGACTCTGAGGCCTCAAACTCTCCTCTTCTCTTTGTGCCTTAGTTTTGTTTTTGTTATTTTTGTTGTTGTTGTTTTGTTTTTTTGTTTTTTTGAGACAGAATTTCACTATTGTTGCCCAGGCTGGAGTACAGCCAGCCTGTACTGATGGCACGATCTCAGCTCACTGCAACCTCCGTCTCCCGGGTTCAAACAATTCTCCTGCCTCAGCCTCCCAAGTAGCTGGGATTACAGGCACGTGCCACCACACCTGGCTAATTTTGTATTTTTAGTCGAGACAGGGTTTCTTCATGCTGGTCAGGCTGATCTTGAACTCCCTACCTCAGGTGATCCACCCATCTCGGCCTCCTAGAGTGCTGGGATTACAGGCATGAGCCACAGCGCCCTGCCACTTTCTGCCCTAGTTTTATTCAGCTGTAATGAATTAATAAAAGACACAATGAAATCCAGTCAAATAAAATTGCAGAAAACTTCAAAGGTTATTGAAAAAAATCTTAACATTATGAATTGCTATCAACTTGATGGACAAGATTTTGGTAAAGAGTACATTTTGTAAATTCTGCAAATTGGTTATTTGGCATTGATCCATTAGCAAATTGGCCTGCTTTCCAGTTCATCAGATATTAAATTCCAGTTAGGTTCACTTGGGAATTCCTACAGACATAGTTCTTTCATGACAGTAAACTTGACAAAACATTTTTTTAAATATTAGATAATGTCTTCCAATTGAAATATTATTCCATGTTTAGTTTTACTGAGAACAAAATGTGTCCTCTTTGGTAGGGGAGTTGTATATGACACAATTACAATAGTTCCTCTAGGATGTTGTGTTAGAGTACTGTCCACCATAGCTGGATGCTGACTTTATTTTCAGTTGGATGAATTGAGAAAAAGGTGGATAACGAGTATGTTTATCCTAAATCAGGAGAGTGACTGAAGGATGTCATGTTGAGGGGAAAAAAAAAAAAGGAGAGAAACAGGACAGTGTATTGCTGTCATCCAGAGGGACACTTGCCTACTGAAAATGTAAATTAGACATACAACAGAGTAAGAATGTCTTTCTCCTGTTCATCTGATTCCTAAGTTGTAAAACTGTTGATGAGGTGTCTTTAAGCACTAATGTTATTGGAGTGAACTGAATGTACTTAGTACATGGCGTATCTTCTTGAAAAGCAAATGAAAAACACAAATGTGTATACACACAGATAGCTTTTATTTATAATGGTGTCTGTTTTATCTTTGATATTCAAAGCATATTAAAGTATCCAATTATGAGTGGTGAACTTTTACCTACTAATCTTTTAGTTCGTTTTCTTTGGGTCTGCTGCTGCTCCTACTCATGTCTTTGACCAATGTTTAGTAACAGGCCAGGATTCTTTTTCCATTCATCCATTGTTTGAAAAGGGTAAATCAAAGCATCCAAGAGGTGATTTAGACTAAGTTTTTCTTCCTTCTGTATGGCATTTTAAATTCTATTTTATGGAATTTTGTTTTGAAAGAGAGGTGATAATCATGTCTCCTTACTCAAGGACATCTGTCTGCCTTCAGTGTTGCCTTTCTGGTACATTTCATTTTCATTTACATAATCATTCTACTCAGACTTTATCTAGAGAAGTTTTTTAGAATCTGTTATGTCCATAAGAATTCTGGATCCTTCTGCTTAGGAAAGGCCTTCATTTTAAATAAACGCCTAGTGATTTGAGAACATTTGTGAGTGAAGATGTGTCTTGAAATATCACTTAAAAATAATTTTTGCCAGCTATTTAAACTTCCATCATTGACTTTAAAATACTGTAACTAGGGCTTTTGATAGATTTTTTTTTTTGAAATTGGAAACAATAGTTGATTAGTTATTCCCTAGCTGAAACAACTTTATAGATGGCAGGGAAATCACTTGATTTATAAAAAGAAGTGAAGAATTAATTAGAAGGAATAAAAGATTTTATTTACCCTACCAAAAGGTAGTAAACCTATTTATTACCCATTCTTATGTGAAGGTGGACATATTTTATATATATATATATTATATGTATATCTATTATTATATTCTGGGAGTGATGAGGCATGGCTTTTACAGGGAGGACGGAAATGAAGAAGCAAATTACATATTTACTTTGGAATGGAAACTTGACATTAAAACAGATCATCTTATGTTTCACTGTTTGAAACTCAGTAAGAGTTTCAGAAACTAATTATTTAGCAGCAGGTAGTGGCATGGAAATATATTAAATATACATAGAAAACTCTGATACTTGAGCAAGGAAAAGGGCTAGGTTACTTTATTTTTACACAAATAAAACAAAGTTCAAAGGCGTTAAATATCATTAAAATAAATACTAAGTACTAATAACCAGCAAAGAAATGCCTAGCCAAGACTAGATATCACAGATGAAATACACTGCATGATTTGTAACATCAAAGCTGTTCTGATGTCCTAAATGTTCCCTCTTCAGTCCTTCAACTTCGAGGTAAAATTGGAGAGCTGATATATGTATTGTGACTTTTGCAGTTTAGGGCATTAGAAAATCAGTTTGTATAACTGAAATTGGAACTAAATGTTATAGCTATTGAGGAAAATAATGTTACTTTCCAAACTAGAGTATAGTGATTGTGACTTTTGCAGTTTAGGGCATTAGAAAATCAGTTTGTATAACTGAAATTGGAACTAAGTGTTATAGCTATTGAGGAAAATAATGTTACTTTCCAAACTAGAGTATAGTGATCAACTTGCTAAACTACCCCATCACATCTGTAAAATGAAAATACCTGCTTCGGGATTACTGTCAGGAACAAATGACTTCTGTGTAAAGAGCTTAGCTCAGTACCGAGACCACCCTAGTAGTGTTCCATACATCACCAAAATTATTACTAATGAACTGTTTAAGGATAATTTTCAGCTGCTGAGCTTTGAGTTTAGCATTGGCCTTAAGTACAATATTTATGTTGCATCCTTTAAGGTCAACAAATGAAAGAGTGCTTTTAGAATTTATTTTTTTGACTTTAAACAAAGTAGTATGTTTAATTTTTAAATTATTGTCTCCAACTCTTAGAAACAACTGTTCTATACATTCATGTTATGTGTGTTATATTACTGATAGAATAATCATTCCTACAAAGTTTTATTGACCACCTGCTGTAACCAGGCTCTGAAAAAACCAAAGTTAATAAAACATAGACATGTCTTCCCTAATAGACTAGAGCCCACAGTCTATTAAGGGAGACAGACAGGTGAACAGTTAATAACACCCTGCACACCATTTCAGCTTTCTTTGCTTATCCCTTTGCCTCAAATACTATCTAGTCCAGAGCTGAATACCTATACACCTTGAAAATTGGCTTGGTTATTGCCCTTCTTAGAAACTTTCTTGCCTCACGCCTTCTACCATAGTTAGTCACTCCTTCCTTTGAATGTTCCTATATCTTCTACATTTTTACACTGTTGTCCTCATCACATAGTATAATAATTTGTTTATTTACAAGCTTACCTCCCCTACCAGACTGTTAATGTCATGAGAGGTATTGTTCATCTTTGTGATCCCAGCCCTAGCGCAGGACTTGGTACTTACTAAGCACTCCATATATGTGAATGAATGGATACTGTCAACCTTTTTGCCCTCTTCAATCTGTTTCCCATATTCCAACATGCACCTTTGAAAGACACTGACAGAACATCAAAGAAATGAACCAAAACTCGGGCATGGAAAGGAAAATTGAAAAACCAATTCACTTGATAGGAAAGCATTATTTTTCTTTCCTAACTTAATATTCATAGACCAAACTGGGCAACATAGGGAGACCCTGTCTCTACAAATAATAAAATATTAGCCAGGCATGGTGGCACATGCCTGTAATCCCAGCTACACGGGAGGTTGAGGTGAGAGGATGGCTTGAGCTTGCTTGGGAGGTCGAGGCTGCAGTGAGCTGCAATTGCACCACCATACTCCAGCCTGGGTGACAGAGCAAGACCCTGTCTAAAGAAAAAAAGAGATATATTAATGTATAGTAAAGTCCTATTAATGTCAGTTTCTCGATTGAAAATGAATTATGTTGTTTATAAAACTGAACTGAGATATCATATAATTATTTCAAAGACAGAGTTGCTAAGCAGAGTAACAATTTGATTAAAACTGCTGAAGATTGTTTAATCCATTACATACATTTTAGTAGCATCTATTTAAATATATTTAGTTACACATTGATTACAAATAATCATCTACTTATTAAAGTAGGTCCAATAGGACCTGTTATTTACCAATCTGCTACTAACACTTATTTTAAAAATTGTTACTGATATGTAACAGTTGTATGTATTTTGGGGGGCATATGTGATATTTTGATAACTGTATACAATGTGTAACAATCAACTCAGAATAATTGGACTGTCACCTCAAACATTTATCTTTTCACATTAGAAACATTTATTAATAATTCTTGCCTTCTAGCTATTTTAAATATATGCAATACATTATTAACTATAATTTCTCTACCATACTAGAACTTACTCCTTCTAACTATTTTTGTACATCTTAACCAACTTCTCTACATCCCTCCCGACTTTCCCCTTCCCTTGCCAGCCTCTGGTAACCATAATTCTGCTCTCTGCCTCCATGAGATCCACTTTTTTAGCACCCACATACAAGTAAGAATGTGAGATATTTTGTCTCTCTGTGCTTGACTTATTTTAATATGATTACTTCCAGTTCCATCTATGTTGCTGCAAATGACAGAATTCCATTCTTTTTTATGGCTGAATAATATTTCATTATATATATGGAATACATTTTCTTTTCCCATTCATCCGTTGATAGACAGGTTCTAAGTCCGTATCTTGGCTGTTGTGAATAGTGCTGCAATAAACATGAGAGTGCAGTCATCTCTTTGACATACTGATTGATCTATGCATCTGTTTTTCTAGCAGTACCATGTTGTTTGGGTTACTCTAGCTTTGCAGCATAATTTGAAATCAAGCAGTGTGGTGCCTCCAGCTTTGTTCTTTTTGCTTAGGATTGCTTAGCTATGCAGGGTCTTTTGTGATTCTATACAAATTTTAGTATTGTGTTTTTTATTTCTGTGAGTAATGTTATTTGTATTTTGATAGGGATTATATTAACCTGCAAATTGCTTTGGGTAATACTACTAGCACTTTTCTTTAATAAACTATACTTGAAGTAAGAAAGATTCTTGTAGAAATATGAACTGGAAAATAGTTTCTCTTCTAATTAATCCATTTAAAGAGCTTTTAAATGTCCTATTCTTGGTATTGAATGGCCATAGATTAAAGGTTTAATTAGTAGTCCCTACTACTTGGGAGGCTGAAGCAGGAGGATTGCTTGAGCCCAGGAGGTGGAGGCTGCAGTGAGCTGTGATTGCACCACTGCATTCCACCTCGAGCAACAGAGAGAGATCCTGTCTCAAAAAAAAAAAAAAAAGACATGTAAAATTCTAATTCTAAAATTTTATCATTCCACTGACTCCCCAATTCATTTTATTCCACCTATACACTAAAAAAATTACATAAGAAATGTAATATAGGTTTTATGTTTTAATAAAGTTTTCATAGTTTCACACTTGTTTTTAGGGCCTGGAAACTCAGAGATGTGCTAGGAGCCTTTTCTTTTTCATTATAAGCTTTATTGTGCTATTTGACCTTTTAATCTATGTTATTTTTAGTCTATATGTTATTCTAATAAAAATTTTAAAAAATCAAGTTTCATAAACTTGTTCCTGACAGAATACATGTGTTTCTCCATATTCAATCCTACTGATTCATATAGTTTTTTCCGATACTTTAATGGGAAAATTTTCAAACGTATAGCAAAGTTCAAAGAGGCTTACAGCGAACACCCATACACCCACCACCTAGAGTCTCCTCCAAGCATTTATTCTACTTCCTTTATCAAGTATCTGCTTCTGTTAGAGAATTGATTAGATGAGTGTGATCCTTGATTAGAGGTCTTTTATGAATTCCTTCTTTTTTGGTTTGTTTTCTTAATTTGCATCAAGTTTTATTGCTGTTTCATTTAGCTCTGCGTGACTAAGATTCCTTTAATTGTGTGTATGTGCATGTGTATGTGTGTATACACACATCTTCACAACCAAAGTTTCCAGGTGTTTACACCAAAGTGGCCAGTTACCACTATTGGATTAACTATTATGTGGGAGGGTCTCTTATATCTCAGCACAATGTATAAAATTGTAATCTTTTTTTCTGTTCTCCTCTCAGGAGTTCCAGGTTAATTTAAATGAAACAATGCATAATTAATACTTCTCTAGGAAACAACAACCAAGCAGATTTTATTGGATATTTTTTAAGGCATCTACAAAGTTTATGCTACATTTGAATCTTGCTGTATAACCCTCAAATATTTTACTCAAGTATAAAATAAGCATTATTTTAATATATACCTATATTTTCCCAATAAATCATATGCCTAAAGCCTATCCCATTCAGTTATTCTGGTCTCCAGAAATAATTGCCTGTTGACTTTATTGGTTTTGTCTTTACCTCTTTTCCTTCTCATTTATGTTTTTTAAACATTAATTTTAATCATAGCCTTTTTGTGAATAAGAGATTTATTATGTATCCTTTATTCGTTGAAACTTGAATCAGTTTTCCCTGTGTTGTCTGGTTCATACCCATTTCTTATCACTGAAACTCTCCAGTCTCTTACCTCTTTTCTTTCTAGGGACTGCTCTGTAATATGTTATTACTGGTTTAAAGCAGCCCTCCTGACCACTATCCTTTGTGGGGGTTTTTTTTTCCCCCATTCCACGTCTGTCTCTTAGGTCTGCCCTCTTTTTGATTTTTATAGTGGACCCAGACGTTTTCTTCTCTTAGGCTTTAGTAATTCATTCAGATCACTAATGTCTTGAGTGTAATTATGTGCCAAGCATTATTGAGCTATCAAGATGCCTCCACCATATTCCTATTCTGCTCAACTTGGATTCTTAGTGCCTCCTGAACACATTATGGCCATTCCCAACCAGAACCTGTGCCCTGGTTTGCAATGCCTTTCTCACCCATTCCTCCCTGTTTCATTCTTAACCAGTATCCTTCAGCACCTAGCTGCTTTGAGCTTTTGCTGAACTTAATGGGTACATTGAAAATGTGAAGTTTCTTTATATCAAGGTAATTTTATTTTAAGTTCCAGGGTACATGTGCAGGGTATGCAGGTTTGTTACATAGGAAAATGTGTGCCATGGTGGTTTGCTGCACCTATCAACCCATCACCTAAGTATTAAGCCCAGCATGCATTAGCTGTATTTCCTGATGCTTTCCCCCACTCCCACCCACGGCAGGCCCCAGTGTGTGTTCTGTGTTGTTCCCCTAACTATGTCCATATGTTCTCGTTGTTCACCTCCCACTTACAAGTGAGAACATGTAGTGTTTTCTGTTCCCGGGTTAGTTTGTTGAGGATAATGGCTTCCAGCTGTATCCATGTCCCTGCAAAGGACATGATCTCACTCCTGTTGATGACAACATAGTATTCCATGGTGTATATGTACCACATTTTCTTTAGTCTGTCATTGATGGGAATTTAGGCTGATTCTGTGTCTTTGCTATTGTGACTAGTGCTGCAGTAAATACATGCGTGCATGTATCTTTCTTTATAATAGAATGATTTATGTTCCATTGGGTATATACCGAGTAGTGGGATTGCTGGGTCAAATGGCATTTCTGATTCTAGGTCTTTGAGGAATCGCCACACTGCCTTCCACAGTGGTTGAACTAATTTACATTCCCACCAACAATGTAAAAGCATTCCTCTCGCTCCACAGCCTTGCCAGCATCTGTTGTTTCATGACTTTTAAATAATTGCCATTTGGACTGGTGTGAGATGGTATCTCATTGTGGTTTTGATTTGCATTTCTCTGATGATCAGTGATGTTGAGCTTTTTTTCATAAGTTTATTAGCCATATAAATGTCTTCTTTTGAGAAGAGTCTGTTCATGTCCCTTGCCCACTTTTTTAATGGGGTTGTTTTTTTTTTCTTGTAAATTTGTTTAAGTTTCTTGTTGACTCTGAGTATTAGACCTTTGTCAGATGGATAGATTGCAAAAATTTTCTCCCTTTCTGTAGAATGTCTGTTTGCTCTGATGATAGTTTCTTTTCCTGTGCTGAAGCCCTTTAGTTTAATCAGATCCCATTTGTCAATTTTTGCTTTGGTTGCAATTGCTTTTGTCATCTTCATCATGAAATCTTTGCCCATGCTTATGTCCTGAATGGTATTGCCTAGATTTTTTTCTAGGGTTTTTATAGTTTTGGGTTTTTCATTTAAGTCTTTAATCCATCTTGAGTTAATTTTTGCATAAGGTGTAAGGAAGGGGTCCAGTTTCAGTTTTCTGCATATGGCTAGCCAGTTCTCCCAGCACCATTTATTAAATAGGGAATCCTTTCCCCATTGCTTGTTTTTGTCAGGTTTGTCAAAGATCAGATGGCTGTAGTTGCACGGACTTATTTCTGAGTTCTCTATTCTGTTCCATTGGTCTATGTGTCTGTTTTTGTAACAGTACCATGCTATTTTGGTTACTGTAGCCCTGTAGTATAGTTTGAAGTCAGGTAATGTGATGCCTCCAGCTGTGTTCTTTTTGCTTAAGATTGTCTTGGCTATATGGGCTTTTTGTTGGTTCCATATGAATTTTAAAAGAGTTTTTTCTAATTCTATGAAGAATGTCAACGGCAGTTTAATGGGAATAGCATTGAATCTGTAAATTGCTTTGGGCAGTATGGCCAATTTCACGATATTGATTCTTCCAATCCATGAGCATGGAGTGTTTTTCCATTTGTTTGTGTCCTCTCTGATTTCCTTGAGCAGTGATTTGTAGTTCTCCTTGAAGTGATCCTTTACTTCCCTCGCTAGCTGTATTCCTAGGTATTTTATTCTCTTTGTATCAGTTGTGAATGGGAATTCATTTATGATTTGGCTCTCTGCTTGTCTATTGTTGGTGTATAGGAATGCTTGTGACTTTTGCACATTGATTTTGCATCCTGAGACTTTGCTGAAGTTGCTTATCAGCTTAAGAAGCTTTTGGGCTGAGGCAGTGGGATTTTCTAGATACAGGATCATGTCATCTGCAAACAAAGACAATTTGGCTTCCTCTCTTCCTATGTAGATACCCTTTGTTTCTTTCTCTTGCTTGATTGCCTTGGCCAGAACTTCCATTACTAGGCTGAATAGGAGTGGTGAGAGAGGGCATCCTTGTTTATGCTGGTTTTTCAAGGGGAATGCTTCCAGCTTTTGCCCATTCAGTGTAATCCTGGCTGTGAGTTTGTCATAAACAGCTATTATTAATATTTTGAGGTACGTTCCTTCAGTGTCTAGTTTATTGAGAGTTTTGAACATGAAGGAATGTTGAATTTTATCACAGGCCTTTTCTGTATCTATTGAGATAACTATTTGTCCTTAGTTCTGTTTATGTGATGAATTACATTTGTTGATTTGCATTATGTTGAACCAGCCTTGCATCCCAGGGATGAAGCCAACTTGATCATGGTGTATAAGTTTTTTGATAGGCTGCTGGTTTCAGTTTGCCAGTATTTTATTGAGGATTTCTGCATCGATATTCATCAGGGATATTGGCCTGAAGTTTTCTTTTTTTGATATATCTCTGCCAGGTTTTGGTATCAGGATAATACTGACCTCATAAAATGAGTTAGGGAGGGGTCCCTCCTTTTCGTTTGTTTGGAATAGTTTTGGAAGAAATGGTACCAGCTCCTTTTTGTATCTCTGGTAGAATTCGGCTGTAAATCTGTCTGGTCCTGGGCTTTTTTTGGTTGGTAGGTTATTTATTACTGCCTCAATTTCAGAACTCGTTATTGGTCTATTCAGGCATTCAACTTCTTCCTGGTTCAGTCTTGGGAGGGTGTATGTGTCCAAGAATTTATCCATTTCTTCTAGATTTTCTTTTTTTTTTTTTTTATTTGCAGAGGTGTTTATAGTATTCTCTGATGGTCGTTTGTATTTCAGTGGGGTCAGTGGTGATATCCCCTTATCATTTTGTATTGCGTCTATTTGATTCTTCTCTTTTTTCTTCTTGATTAGTCTAGCTAGCAGTCTATTTTATTAACTTTTTCAAAAAACCAGCTTGTGGATTCATTGATTTGTTTTTATTTTTGAAGTGTTTTTCATATCTCTGTGTCCTTCACTTCTGCTCTGATCTTGGCTATTTCTTGTCTTCTGCTAGCTTTGGAGTGTGTTTGCTCTTGGTTCTCTAGTTCTTTTAGTTGTGATGTTAGGATGTCAATTTGAGATCTTTCTAGCTTAGTGTGGGCATTTAGTGCTATAAATTTCCCTCTTAACACTGCTTTAGCTGTGTTCGAGATTCCAGTACATTATCTCTTTGTTCTTATTGATTTCAAAGAACTTCTTGATTTCTGCCTTAATTTCATTATTTACCTAGGAGTCATTCAGGAGCAAGTTGTTCAATTTCCATGTAGTTGTATGATTTTGAGTGAGTTTCTTTTTTTTTTTCTTTTCTTTTTTGTTTGAGATAGATAGAGTCTCACTCTGGGTCCAGGCTAGAGTGCAGTGGCGTGATCTCGGCTCACTGCAACCTCCGCCTCCCGGTTCAAGTTATTCTCCTGCCTCAGCCTCCCAAGTAGCTGGGAATACAGACATGCACCAGCATGCCAGGCTAATTTTTGTATTTTTAGTAGAGATGGGGTTTCACCATGTTCGCCAGGCTGGTCTCAAACTCCTGACCTCAAGTGATCCGCCCACCTCAGCCTCCTAAAGTGCTGGGATTCCGGACATGAGCCACTGCACCCGGCCTTTGAGTTTCATTAATCTGAGTTCTAATTAATTTGATTGTGCTGTGGTCTGAGAGACTGTTATGATTTCAGTACTTTTGCACTTGCTGAGGAGTGTTTTACTTCCAATTATGTGGTCTATTTTAGAGCAAGTGCCATGTGGCGCTGAGAAGAATGTATATTCTGTTGTTTTGTGGTGGAGAGTTCTGTAGATATCTATCAGATCCACTTGATCTAGAGCTGAATTCAAGTCCTAAATATCTTTGTTAATTTTCTGTCTTGATCTGTCAGGGGTGTTAAAGTCTCCCACTATTACTGTGTTGAGAGTCCCTTTGTAGGTCTCTAAGACCTTGTTTTATGAAACTAGGTGCTCCTGTATTGAGTGCATATATAGGATAGTTAGCTCTGCTTGTTAAATTGAACCCTTTATCATTATATAATGCCCTTCTTTGTCTTTTTTGATCTTTGTTGGTTTAAAGTCTGTTTTGTCAGCAAGTAGTACTACAAGCCCTGCTTTTTTCTGTTTTCCATTTGCTTGGTAAATTTTCCTCCATCCCTTTATTTTGAGCCTATGTATGTCTTTGCATGTGAGATGGGTCTTGTCTTTTTATCTAGCTTGCCATTTTGTGTCTTTTAATTGGGGCATTTAACCCATTTACATTTAAGGTAATATGTTTGAATTCGACCCTGTCATCATAATGCTGGCTGGTTATTTTGCAGACTTGTCAATGTAGTTGTTTCACAGTGTCATTGGTCTGTGTACTTCAGTGTGTTTTTGTAGTGGTTGGTAACGGTTCTTCCCTTCCATGTTTAGTGCTTCCTTCAGGAGTTCTTGCAAGGCAGGCCTGGTTGTGACAGATTACCTCAGCATCTGCTTGTCTGTAAAGGATTTTATTTCTCCTTTGCTTATGAAGCTTAAGTTTGGTCTAGAAGAAAAGAAAAAGAAAGAAACTCACTCAAAACCATACAACTACATGGAAATTGAACAACTAACTTGCTCCTGAATGACTCCTGGGTAAATAATGAAATTAAGGCAGAAATCAAGAAGTTCTTTGAAGTCAATAAGAACAAAGAGATAATGTACTAGAATCTTGAACACAGCTAAAGCAGTGTTAAGAGGGAAATTTATAGCACTAAATGCTCACATTAAGCTAGAAAGATCTCAAATTGACATCCTAACATCACAACTAAAAGAACTAGAGAACCAAGAGCAAACAAACTCCAAAGCTAGCAGAAGACAAGAAATAGCCAAGATCAGAGTTGAAGTGAAAGACACAGAGATATGAAAAACAAACACTTCAAAAATAAAAACAAATTGGGTTGGAAATTCTTTTCTTTAAGAATGTTGAATACTGACCCCAAGTCTCTTCTGGCTTGTAGGGTTTCCACTGAGAATCTGATGGCCTTCCCCTTAGTAGGTGGCCTGGCCTCTCTTTCTGGCTGCCCTTATCATTTTTTCCTTCATTTTGACCTTTGAGAATCTGATGATTATGTGTCTTGGTCTATGATGTACTTCTCATGGAGTATCTTACTGGGGTTCTTGGGTTTCCTGAGATTTGAATGTTGGCCCGTCTTCCTAGGTCAGGGAAGTTCTCCTGGATTATATCTTGAAATACGTTTTCCAACTTGGTTCCATTCTCCCTGTCTCTTTCAGGTGTCTTAGTCAGTCATAGGGTTGGTCTTTTTATATAATCCCATAGTTCTTGGAGGTTTTGTTCATTTCTTTTAATTCTTTTTTCTCTAATCTTAAATGCCTGTCTTATTTCAGCAACATAGTCTTCAAGCTCTGAGATCCTTTCCTCCGTTTGATCTATTCAGTTATTGATACTTGTGGTTGCATTGTGAAGTTTGTGTGTTGTGCTTTTCAGCTCCATCAGATCATTTATGTTCATCTCTAAACTGGTTATTCTGGTTAACAGCTCCTGTAATATTTTATCATGGTTCTTAGCTTCTTTGCATTGGTTTAGAACGTACTCCTTTAACTCAGTGAAGTTCATTATTACCCATAGTAACAAGGTGATATTTATAACAAGGGTTTCAAATAATCTGTATAGTTTTGCAAAAGAGCTCCTGAATTTTGGGATTCTAAATTTGAATACTGTATGTTATTACTTTTCTACATGCCAAGAGCTGTTGTAATATTTCTAGGCCATTTTTCAACACTAAGTAAGTTGCTTTGTAAGTGAACATAATTATTAAAGTGGTAAAACAACGAAGCAGAACACTAACTTCACACTTCAGTGTATTATTTATTTTGGTTAAGGACCAATAAGACCAAGATTGTGGGTTATAATCCCATGTGGGCCAGTTGATATCCCACCAACAAATACTTTCAGTATTCACATGAATATGACTAATTTAGTACAGACTCATGGTCAGCAGTGCAAGCTTCAGATCCCAAGATTAATAGATGCACTTTAAAACAATATGTTTTAATGAAAGCACTTTTTTGGCAGGTTTACTTTCTTTAATGCAATGCCAGAGATACACCAACAAAGTGACATAAATGTTGTATATAAGTTCTCCATAAATAGTATAATTTAATTGGCATGTCATATATATCTATAGATAGATATATTTATCTACAACAAAACAAGGATCCTATAGATATCTATCTATAGATATATATATCTATAGATATATATATAATGTTAAACTATAAAAACTTCAAAACAGTCCAATAAAGAAGTAGTATAAAATTGAGAACAAATCACATTTGGGGCCAGCTCCAACAGTGGGCTGCCTAGATATGATGAGGGGAAGAGGCATTTGACAGACTTTCCTTTTGTTAGGTAGGAGACTTGGTTGTTTTTCATCCAGCTTCTTTCTCAATAGGATTTCAGGTGGCAGGCAATAGTTAGATTTAATCAAATAGACAAATGGATGAAAGACCTGTAGGGCTTTCATTGGCAAATAATGGGGTGATAAGTGTGTTTGAGAAAGATGCTGCTTGTAGCTGTGTTAACAGTGTAGCAGATAGATTGCTGAGCTTTTAAAACCAGACATTTTCTGCACTGTGTATCTTACTAGATCTTTCCAGCAAATTGGAAGATGCATACTGGGAGGAGTTATAGTTCACTCCTTCTGCACCAGAATACCAGATCCAAAGTATTTTAACTCTAAGAGTTATAGAGAACTTTGAGAAATTTTCAGGAAGCCAGCCTTTGGTAAAATGGCTACAACGTGAATTTTGTTTCGGTGGTCCCCACCTTACCCTTTCAGTAACTGCCATCATTGACTGAGATCCTGCTGTTGTTTGGCCATCTTAGACTTCTGCCTAGACACACCTGCACTGGGAATTGTTTTGTACTCTGTCCCATCCAAAATCATCACTTCTCTGTCTCATTTCTTTCAAGTTTTTCACAAACAGATTAATCAGTTCCTTCCTAATGACTTTTTTTCTTCCTCTCTATATATTATGCACATTTAATATCAGCTTTTATTTTAATGGTGTGAAATAAAGGAGTGTTTCTAATGGTGTAAAGTTTAAGCATCATGACCATTTACTCTGACAGCAGGTTGATCCTGGAGTGCTACTCTTCACACTAGCTCAGTATTAGCTCAGCCCTGGCTTCCCATCCCTGTCTTTTGGTTGAATACATATACATTTAGACAAAGATAAGAAGATGTCTAGAAATGGGGATTGTACAACTTTCTTCCAGGAACAGCGGAACAGTAATTTACAGCATGGATTTGAGAACTGGAAAGAATTGAGTTAGAATCATAATTCCATGTCTTATTAGCTGTGTGACCTAGGGTGGTATATTTAACATCCCCTTGGTAAATGAGGATAATAAAGCTTTACCTAACATTCTTATTGTGCTGCTTCAGTGAAATAATATATCTAAGAAATTTAGCATCAATATATAATGCAACATATGTAAGAAATTTAAAATATGTGTGGCACAGTATCTGGCACAGAATAAACATTCAGAGAATTAATAAACATTCAGAGAATTGTTTTCTCTTTGCCACAGAGAATAAATTAGCAAGAAATTATTCAATGAATAATTTTAGAATTTTAAAAAAACCTAGCGTGTCTAGAGATACAATACAGTGAACGAAAAAGACAGATCATAATCATCATTAAATTTCAGACCAGCAACAAAGCAAGGATCCTAAAAGCTTCCAAAGAGATCAAAACTTAGAATGCTGTCACATTGTCCAAGGCAACACTGGTAGAAAAAGTGGAGGAAACCTTCAATTTTTGCTTTTTTTTTTTTGAAGGAAAATGGTTTCCAACTGGAGAATTCTGAGCATACTCAAATTCTCAATCAAATGAGAGGACAGAATAGGCATTTTCAAACATTCAAGATCTCCTTTGCACCTTTCTTGGGGAACTGTTGAAGGATGTATTGTAACAAAAGAGTAAACTAAAAAGGGTGATAGAGAATTTAGGAAACAAGGAAAACAACATATGAATAGAATCTCCAGGATTATTATGTTGAAGGAGGATCCAAGGATGACAGCTGTGCAACATGCATGTAAGATTATAGTCCTGATCAGAGTAGGGACATGAAGGGTTCCAGGAAGAATGGCCCCAAGATGATGAAAGCAATAGATCATCTGACATATTTGAATGTATGGGAAGGAGATTTGTACTTCTAGCAGAGAGTATGGGGATAAATTAGTGACAGGTCTCTAGAAAATTAAGCAAAGAGAAAAATAAGGTAATTATTAACCAGGGAAAAATGATTTGTGGAATAAGAAATGTAATTGCTACTACATAATTATACTGTGAATATTTACCTGGCTGTATAATATAAACACTAAATATTGAACTTACCAAGAATTATGATATAACTATATTTGGACCATGGAAGAACAGAGTAAGCACATGTCCCCAAGTGCCTTTAGATTAGGGCACAACTAACTCTGGCCAGAGAGCAGATGTAATGAGTGTCATTTTGGGGCTACAACAGTGTGACCCTTCAGCCCCCTCTTCCCATGCTTCAGCAACTTGCAAGGGACAGGGATAATTGGAATGCATCCAGTAGCCTGGAAATCTCTTCTATGTTCTTTAGGACTGTGACTTCTTAGCTTAGAGAAAAGACGACTAAGAGAAGATTTGACAGCTGTCTAGCTGTCTAGCTGTCTTTTAATCAGCATTGGTAAGCGTTTTCTGTAGAGGGCCAGGTAGTAAATATTTTAGGCTGTGCAGGCCATATGGTCGCTTTCCAAACTACTTAATTCTGTTGTACTGCAAATAAATGAATGAGTATGTGTTCCAATAAAACTTTATTTATGGACATTGAAATTTAAATTTCATAGGACTTTCAGGTGTGTAAAATAAAATTATACTTTCGCTTTTTTTCCCTGGCCATTAAAAAAATGTAAAAATCCAGTGAGCCGAGATCGTGCCACTGCACTCCAGCTTGGCGACAGAGTGAGACTCCGTCTCAAAAAAAAAAAAAAAAAAAAAAAGTAAACATCATTCGTAGCTCTCAGGTTGTACAAACACAGGTGGAATGGGTCCATGGGCTGTACTTTGCTTACCCGTGCTTTAATATTTGAAGGATTGTTATCCACAGAAGTTAAAAGCATCATACTGTTTGTTTTTAGAGGACAAACTAAGGAGTGGGAGTCCCAGAGGGATAAACTTCAGCCTCAAATTTCCTTGGGTAATAAGAGCATTTCTACAAATTAGAGCTGCCTGCCAGGAAAAAGGCTGCCTCAAGGCATCTGTGTCCTTGCCGCCCCCACACACAGGTGGGAGGTTGCACTAGATGACCTCTGTGCTCCCTTTTAATGGTTACATTACATGGACCTGTAACACAGTTAACATGGGTCATTCTGATAAAACCATTGTAGTGTTTTCCAAAGTACAGTAACTTCCCACCAGTTTTAGGACAGTGCTTTAGAAAAAAGACCAAAATGTTTGTGTGTATTGCCTTAACTATTGTAAATTAAGCATTTATAGTGCGGAGATTTACAGAGACTACTTGCTAACCTAAACGTGTTTGCACACAGCCGTATTTTCTAATTTAAATTCAATCATAATATCCAAACAGCCCTTGCTTAGACCAGCTAAAGGTATAAACTTCATTTTCATCTCATTAGGCCACCTGGAAGCTGCAATCAGTGAGTAGTCTTGACGTCAGTAGTCTGTCTGCTTCATTAAAATGTTAATTTCATGGCTTTAATTCCCTTTGTAGAATGTACCAATGCAGGACACTGTATGCAGATTTATTCTAAAGCAGACCAATTTACATATTGTTTTTAGTTTATTCAGACTTTCTCTTTGTATTGCTGTTAAGAACTGCTTTAGTGTTTAAGAAAGTGTTCAAACATTTAGATATGTAAGGCAATTTCAGCCTAAAATGAATTTTAAAAGAATTCTGAGAAAGCTTAATTTCTTCATCAGTGACATAATTCTCACTAAGAGTGAAATATACATTTCCTCTCCTACAACTCTGAAGCTGCACCTTTAAAGAAAGAAAGGTATAATAGCAGTTTTAGCAAATGATCAGGATGAATCTAGCACCTAATAGAGAAATGGATGAGCAAATCTTTTATGTCAGTGGTCCCCAACCTTTTTGGCACCAGGCACTGGTTTTGTGGAAGACCATTTGTCCACGGCTCGGGGAGGGAGTGGGGGGATGGTTTCGGAATGAAACTGTTCCACCTCAGATCATCAGGCATTAGTTAGATTCTCATAAGGAGCGCGCAACCTAGATCCCTCACTTGCACAGTTCACAGGAGGGTTCTTGCTACCATGAGAATCTAATGCTCCCCACTCCCCACTCTGTTGATCAGGCAGGAGGCAGAGCGAGGGAAGTAAAGGACCACTTCAAGGAGAACTACAAATCACTGCTCAAGGAAATCAGAGAGGACACAAACAAATGGAAAAACACTCCATGCTCATGGATTGGAAGAATCAATATCGTGAAATTGGCCATACTGCCCAAAGCAATTTACAGATTCAATGCTATTCCCATTAAACTGCCGTTGACATTCTTCATAGAATTAGAAAAAACTCTTAAAATTCATATGGAACCAACAAAAAGCCCATATAGCCAAGACAATCTTAAGCAAAAAGAACACAGCTGGAGGCATCACATTACCTGACTTCAAACTATACTACAGGGCTACAGTAACCAAAATAGCATGGTACTGTTACAAAAACAGACACATAGACCAATGGAACAGAATAGAGAACTCAGAAATAAGTCCGTGCAACTACAGCCATCTGATCTTTGACAAACCTGACAAAAACAAGCAATGGGGAAAGGATTCCCTATTTAATAAATGGTGCTGGGAGAACTGGCTAGCCATATGCAGAAAACTGAAACTGGACCCCTTCCTTACACCTTATGCAAAAATTAACTCAAGATGGATTAAAGACTTAAATGAAAAACCCAAAACTATAAAAACCCTAGAAAAAAATCTAGGCAATACCATTCAGGACATAAGCATGGGCAAAGATTTCATGATGAAGATGACAAAAGCAATTGCAACCAAAGCAAAAATTGACAAATGGGATCTGATTAAACTAAAGGGCTTCTGCACAGGAAAAGAAACTATCATCAGAGCAAACAGACATTCTACAGAAAGGGAGAAAATTTTTGCAATCTATCCATCTGACAAAGGTCTAATATTCAGAGTCAACAAGAAACTAAAACAAATTTACAAGAAAAAACAACCCCATTAAAAAAGTGGGCAAGGGACATGAACAGACACTTCTCAAAAGAAGACATTTATATGGCTAATAAACTTATGAAAAAAAGCTCAACATCACTGATCATCAGAGAAATGCAAATCAAAACCACAATGAGATACCATCTCACACCAGTCCAAATGGCAATTATTTAAAAGTCATGAAACAACAGATGCTGGCAAGGCTGTGGAGCGAGAGGAATGCTTTTACATTGTTGGTGGGAATGTATATTAGTTCAACCATTGTGTAGCTGGGACTACAGGCGTCCACTACCACGCCCGGCTAATTTTTTTGTATTTTTAGTAGAGACAGGGTTTCACCATGTTAGCCAGGATGGTCTCGATCTCCTGACCTCATGATCCACCCGCCTCAGCTTCCCAAAGTGCTGGGATTACAGGCATGAGCCACCGCGCCCAGCCAAGGAAATATCTTTATAGATGTCTTCTTGTGTACCTGTGTAAGAATTCCTTTGGGATATACAGTCATGCAACACATAATGACGTTCTAGTTAGTGGCAAACCACATATATGATGGCAGTCTCATAAGATCATAATGGAGCTAGAAAATTCCTATCACCTGGTGACATCATCACATGTTTGTGATGATGCTGATGTAAACCACTATGCTACCAGTTGTGTAAAACAGTAGCACATAAAATTATATACCGTAATGATAATGACTATGTTACTGATTTACATAGTTACTGTACTATACTTTTTATTGTTACTTGAGTGTATTCCTTCTGCTTATAGTAAAAGCAGTAAAACAGCCCCAGGCAGGTCCTTCAGGAGGTATTCCAGAAGAAGGCATTGCTGTCATAGGACATGACAGCTCCATGCTTGTTATTACCTCTGAAGACCTTGCAGTGAGACAAGATGTGGAGGTGAAGACAGTGATATTGATGATCCTGACCCTGTGTAGGCCTAGGCTGTGTGTGTGTGTGTGTGTGTGTGTGTGTGTGTGTGTGTGTGTGTGTGTGTGTGTCTTAATTTTTAACAGTTTTTTTTAAAAAAGTTTTTATAATTAAAGGTTATGGAATCAGGATAGAAAGAAAGTCTTTTTGTACAACTTTACAATAGGTTTGTGTTTTAAGCGAAGTGTTATAAAAGAGTCAAGTTTTAAACATTTAGAAGTTTACTCACACCTGTAATCCCAGCACTTTGGGAACCCGAGGCAGGTGGATCACCTGAGGTCGGGAGTTCAAGACTAGCCTGGCCAACAAGTTGAAACCTTGTCTCTTCTAAAAATACAAATATTAGCTGGGCGTGGTGGCAGGTGCCTCTATTCCCATCTACTTGGGAGGCTGAGGCAGGAGAATAGCTTGAACCTGGGAGGCGGATGTTGCTTGCACTCCAGCCTGGGTGACAGAGTGAGACTCCATCTCAAAAAAAAAAAAAAATTTATAAGTTTAGAGTAAAAAAGTTACAGTAAGCTAAGGTTAATTTATTATTGATGAAAGTTTTTTAATAAATTTAGTGTAGCCTAAGTGTACAGTGTTTATTAAAGTCTACAGTAGTGTACAGTGGTGTCCTAGGCCTTCACATTCACTCACCCTCACTCACTGACTCACCCAGAGCAACTTCCAGTCCTGCAGACTCCATTCATGGTAAGTGCCCTGTAGAGGTATACTATTTTTTATCTTTTATACTGTATTTTTACCATACCTTTTCTATGTTTAGACACACAAATACTTAGCATTATGTTACAATTGCCAACAATATTCAGTACAGTAACATGCTGTACAGGTTTGTAGCCTAGGAGCAACAGGCCATACCATATAGCCTAGGTGGGTCATAGACTATATACTGTCTAGGTTTGTGTGAGTATGCTCTATGATGTTCCCATGACAAAAAAATTGCCTAAAGACACATCTCTCAGAACATATCCCCGTCAAGTGACACATAGTTGTATGTCCAAGAGTAGAACTGCTGAGTCATAGGGTTTGGTAACCTTAATTTGACCAGCCCCAAATTATACTACATAATAGATACTCCCCTCTAAACACCCACTGGCAATGCACAAGGGTGCCTGTTTCCTCTCATTCCTGTGAACACTTGGTATTATCCAGCTTTCTACTCTTTGCCAGTCAAATAGGTATATTTTAATTTGGTTTTGTCTGATTACAAAGGATTTTCACATGCCTGATATTTTCTGGGTTTCCTCATCTATTCATTGCCTGTTTATATCTTGTCTGTGTTTCTATTGGGATTACTATAGTGACTTGTTAATTCGCACTAGTTCTTATGTTCTAGATATAATCCCTTGTTGAATTTTAGACATTGCAGGTATGTTCTATTTTATTACATATTCATTGAACAGAAATTCCTGGTGTAATCAAATTAAGAAGTTTTTATCTTACGACCTATGCTCTTGAAGTCTGGTTTTTAAAAACCTTTCTTGTTACTTGGTCTCCATTTTCTTTTGTTAATTGTATAATTATGTTTTACATTTCAGCTTTATCCATCTGGAGTCCCTTACATGTGTTGTTTGGTGTGAGGATCTGGTTTTATTTTTCTCCAACAGTGTGTACTTAATCTGTTATTCTCCATTGATTTGTGATGTTACCTTTATCATATATTAAGTCCCCATATATTCATGAGAATGGCTTTGAACTCTATTCTGATACTTGTTTTTCCACAACCACTTGATTCTTTTAGAATGTATTTTCCATAGTGAAGACCCAGTTTCTTCTAAATCTCAAGGAACTAGTTTATGCATGTGTTATACCAGGATAGCCTTTTTGTGTGCATAACTGTTTAGGCATTTCAGCCCACAGTGATCCTGTCCTCCTTTGAACTCATAGTGTTCATTCTCTACTACACTCACCTCACTTCTCTTAAAATTTTCTATTAACTTGTATTCGTTTCCTGTGTTATTACTTAACTTTTCACATATTTATATGTTGTACTTCAACTAGATTATAAACTTCTAAAAGGCAAGGATTGCTTCCATGTCTTTAAATCTCCCATGGTAGCTGTAGCTAGCACAGGACTTAAAATCATTATCATAAGCATGATTTAGTGAGCAATTATTAAACTCTTTATTGATACTTTTGATGTGATGAATGCATGTCTTAACATAATTTTAAGCACATAAAGGCAATGACCGATTTTTGAAGGATATAGGACAAATATGCAGTTTCTACATGTACAAATTGAACATAGCCATACCCCCTGCATTTTTCTAATAACTAGACTTTGTCACATATTACTTCCTCTATTTCTTAAAAGGTTTTAGTTTACTAATTTTTTCGTTCCTTCTTTAGTAATTGCATTTTTTTTTTTAGGTTTCCTTAATAAACCCTGTGAAAAGCAATGTGCTAAATAAATTATATGCAGGGCAAAGCAATACATTATAATTAGGCATTCCATTATTGAATTGATGCCTCTGGCTTCTCATGGTCTCTGTCTAATCCTGAAACAAATTCTTTTTGTGGACAAATATTAGCCTATAATAATTATTCATCTAAGCTAACGCTTTTCATTAAATCTCCTTCTGATTAAGATAGCTCCATAAGTACAGACTGATTTAATTTAACATGATTTATCCACTTGTGTATCAAGGTCTGGTGGAAATTGTTTTTAACACCAGAGGATTGTGAATATTAAGATCATCTTTATATTAACAGATCTCTCAGGTATTTAAGACCTTGTTGTTTGAATAGTTATATAAGCCTAGGTCTGATGTCACTCTGCTAAATTCAAGAGTATCACAAGTGCTGTAACAGGCTGTCATTAAAAACAATATGGATTCTGTTTTATATTATAATGTTGGAGCTTAGAGTTAGTACATTCTTGTGTTACTTGGGTTTGGGAATCAATTTTCATTCCAGCTGGTTGGTCCAACACATTTAATGTCTTTTCTGTTTTACCAGAAGTTCAGTGTTATTAAAAACAAGTAAATCATAGATATATATTCTGAATTAAGGGTCTCCACGGACATGAATATAACTTTTTAAAAAATTTCTTGGACTTAACTGTTATTATTTCCTCACCTGTTACCATCCTTGTGCTTTTCTTCAGTTTTTTTAATGCTGGCTATGTAATAGATACCAAACACTGAGTTTAATTTTGTTTTTTTTTCACTTCTTCCTTGATCATCTTTCCCCCAATATTCCTCCCTTAATTTGTTAAATTCTGGCTTCACCACTGCTCTTCTACTTTTAGCTTTTTTTTTTTTTTCCTATCAGTAGTCAACAGACTCATTAGCATTTTTCTTCTGGCCTTTTTGTCCATTTTTTTTCTTTTTGGTCCTTTTATAGTCTTTCCTGCTTCATTATATATGCATGAGAAAGTTTGCATTGCTCTATGTGAACATGATAAAGCTACATGAATTAATTCTATGAAACCAAAGCATATATTCTAATTTGCTGCAACCAAAAATTCTTGAAAATAAACTATATAATGTCCTAATTATAATTTAGCTCCAGTTTTAGGAAATCCCAGAGAACAGAGAGTGTGTGTGTATACACTCACACTTTCAGTTGAGGGTGAAAGAGAGTGCCATGAAAGCAAAAGGAAAGGCATTCTAGCATGTGGAACTTTCTGAGGTCCCATTTCCAGCCGTATCCTCTTTATTTTCAGGTTTCTAAGAGTTGTTAACTGTTCTTTCTCTCTCCCCCTGACTCTGCTCTGCCCCATGTGTGCTGTTCTCAGAAGACAGTGGTGTGTATGGTAGGACCCTGAGTCAGTAGGCTGAAGACTTACAGAAAGAAGGTACCTTGGAGTCAGGACTGGAAGCTGAGGGATAACAGGCCAAGTCAGGCTGAGATTCTTAACTGGTCTGGGCTCTGGGCATAGCAGCAAAGAAGAGCTTACTTCATCTGGGTCAGCTGAGGGAAGTGGTTCATGAACCGCTTAGCAGACCACTTGAACTAATAGGAGGAGGATGACGCAGAACTCAAGTGAAGTACTGTGGTCATTTGCAGAAGAGTTTCTCCTGGGAGGAGGTCAGAGTAGAAATGGGCGTATCATGCCCATAAGGCAGCAATTACTGTTTTCAGAGCCGTGTCTGCACTGATGGAAATGCCAGCTCTGTGAAATTTTTTTCAAGCTGGTGGGACTCCCATGTGTCCTGTGGATAGAAAGAAAAAAAATAGCACAGTAGAAAATGAAGCTTTCTTTTCTGTGAGGAAAAGACTTTCTGTGAGGAGGTTGGTGGTTCTATTTAAAGACACAGTCTTGAGAGTTGATTAGGAAACAAGTACTTCTACAGTAATACCTTAATTAATGAAGAGGCTATATTCGGGAATGTTTAATGAAGTTTCTGTTGTTATCAGAGAGAAAATGAAGCAAGCACAGGGGATTGCATTCCAGAATGTCAGGAAAGAATTTCAGTTTAAAAACAACACTGTATGTTTAACATCGTCAAATATGCCATAACTAAAGAGTATTTATATCACGGTTTGAAGGGAGAGGGAGAGAGGAGCATATCAAACTAACATAAGCTCCTTAAACCTATAAAAGGCACCTATCATCATTGAAGAGGTCTCTAGCTTCCTGTCCTTGTGGCGCCCTGTGCCTATTCAGATGTTGGTCATTTAGTGCTGTTGACCTACTGTTAACACCACATACATGTGACCTTGACTTCCCAGTATATCCTCTGAAACATTATTATCTCAGCTTGCCTGACAACTCATGAAGAACCCCAGTGCTTTAACAATAATATAGTGATTGCACAGATTGCAAGTAGCAGAACTACAGAGTATCTAAGGCTTGGCAAAGAATGTCTCATGTCCAGAACAGAAGCACAAATTCCTGTCTGCCTTCTCTGCTATGGTCTGAGGGATCATTAATCACAATTACTTTCCAGCGACAGTCTCTCATAATGCACCTTTCTACTGCAGGCTGTTAGGGAAGGCTCTATTCTTAGGCTCTCTGCCAAGAAGTACCCCAGAGACAGAAGCTCAGCTCAGTTTCCCCTTTTCTGCTTATTCAATTTATATATTTCCTGAGCTCACTGAAGCAGCACAGGAATACACCAATGAATAAAATAAACAAAAATTTAGACAATAAGTACGTAAAATTTATAGTATGTCAGATGATGGGGCTTACAGAGAAAATAAATCAAGGAAGAGGGAAGACTGAAGTAGGGTAGTCAGGGCTCCCCTGAAAAGAGGAATTTGGGGGAAGAGGATCCCTAGTAGAAGGAACAATAACGTGCCTGAGATGAGAATGTGCCTAGTGTGTTCAAAGAAGAACAAGAGATGCAGTGTGGCTAGACCAGATCAAGTCACATGAGCAGTAGCAGAGAATGAGGGCAGAAAGGTAAATGTTTGCCAGATAGGCCACCATGGGAGTTTGGTGTTCTCTCTGAGATGGGCAGCCACTGGGGAGAAGGGGTGAAGGGGGAGGGGTTATAAGATTGTGACTGACATTATTAAAGGATTACTCTGGCTGTAATGTTAAGAAAAATCTGTAGGTCGGGCAGGTGGGCAAACAGAGAAACCAATTAGAAAGTTATTTGTAATAATGCAGGAAAGAGAAGTGGAGAGTGAGGTAAAATTAGTGAGGTTGCAAAAAATGGCTGGATTCTAGATACATTTTAAGGTGGAAGTGTAGGGGTGGGTTGCCCCTACACACCTGTGGGTGTTTCTCGTAAGGTGGGACGAGAGATTTGGAAAAGAAAAAGACACAGAGACAAAGTATAGAGAAAGAAATAAGGGGAACCGGGGAACCAGCGTTCAGCATATGGAGGATCCCGCCAGCCTCTGAGTTCCCCTAGTATTTATTCATCATCTGTGGGTGTTTCTCGAAGAGGGGGATGTGTCAGGGTCACAAGACAATTGTGGGGAGAGGGTCAGCAGACAAACATGTGAACAAAGGTCTTTGCATCATAGACAATGTAAAGGATTAAGTGCTGTGCTTTTAGATATGCATACACATAAACATCTCAATGCTTTACAAAGCAGTATTGCTGCCCACAGGTCCCACCTCCAGCCCTAAGGCGGTTTTTCCCTATCTCAGTAGATGGAGCATACAATCGGGTTTTATACCGAGACATTCCATTGCCCAGGGACGGGCAGGAGACAGATGCCTTCCTCTTGTCTCAACTGCAAGAGGCATTCCTTCCTCTTTTACTAATCCTCCTCAGCACAGACCCTTTACGGGTGTCGGGCTGGGGGACGGTCAGGTCTTTCCCTTCCCACGAGGCCATATTTCAGACTATCACATGGGGAGAAACCTTGGACAATACCTGGCTTTCCTAGGCAGAGGTCCCTGCGGCCTTCCGCAGTTTTTGTGTCCCTGGGTACTTGAGATTAGGGAGTGGTGATGACTCTTAAGGAGCATGCTGCCTTCAAGCATCTGTTTAACAAAGCACATCTTGCACCGCCCTTAATCCATTTAACTCTGAGTTGACACAGCACACGTTTCAGAGAGCACGGGGTTGGGGGTAAGGTTATAGATTAACAGAATCTCAAGGCAGAAGAATTTTTCTTAGTACATAACAAAATGGAGTCTCCTATGTCTACTTCTTTCTACACAGACACAGTAACAATCTGATCTCTCTTGCTTTTCCCCACATGGAAGCAATAGGATTTTTTGATGGGTCGGGTGTGGAGTATAAGAAAATGAGAGGGAACTAGTGTGACTGCAAGGTTCTTGGCCTCAACTGAAGGAAAGGCAGTTTTGCCTTTTAACTGCAACAAAGACTGTGGTAAGTACAGGTTTTGGGGGAAAGGCCAAAAAGCAGTTCCATTTAAGCCATGTTAAGTTTGAGCTACTTATTAGATATCCATAGGGAGTTATGAAATTAGTAAATATGTGAGTCTAGAAAGGAGAGAGGCAGGAGATACACATTTGGTAGGCATGACCACATATGATATTTAAAGCTGCAAGACTGAAAGAGATCACCTAAGGAATGAGTGTGGATGGAGAAGAGTAAGATCCCAGCCTAGTTAATAGTAGGCAGTACAATATTAGGGATCGGAGAACCAGGCCATCCACAAAGAAGACTTCAGAGTGGCCTGTGAAGTTGGGGAAAAGCCAAGAGAGTAAGGTGACCAGGAAGCCAAGAGGGAGGGAGGCATTGGATTTGGTACATAAAGGTCACCGAGGACAGTTCTGGTGGAATGATGAGGGCAGAAGCTTCATTGGCATGGGTTCGAGAGAGAAATGAAAGAGGATTGAAGACAGTGAGTATAGACAGCTCAGGAAGTTTAGCTGTGTAAGTGAACACAGAGATGAGTGGTCACTAGAAGGAGAGGTGAGCCAAGAGGGAATGATGGGAGAAGTTATAATATGTTGATGGTCAAGATAGAATGACTGATTAAAGGGGAATTGCTGGGGCTCTGTTCCTGAGTAGGCAAGAGCAGGTGAGATAGAAGACATAGGTGGAGGGATTGGCCCTAAATACATGCGTGGACAGATCCTCCTTATGAAAAAAAGAAGGCAAAGTGTATGAACTCACACAGTAGTAGGAGAGTATATAGGGTGGTACGAGTTGTGCAAATTTCTTTTGATTGATTTTCTCAGTGAAATAGGATGAGAATGAAGGATAGTGAGGAAGTTATTGGAAGTTTTTGAGAAAAGCAAAGTCATGAAGTCCTCAAATCCAAGCAACTGGGACACAGAATGGACTAAGGAAATATGTATGTTGAGCAGTACTAAGGAGCTGCTTTTGGCCAGTGATCAGGAATTTACCAAGGACTCCCACTAGCCTTCATTCCCTGCCGAAAAACTTAAATACTTCCACCAAAACTTGTGCCTAATAGGCTCAAATAAGTTTCTGGGAGAAAAGAGACACCACATATCAAAAAGTCTTTCTCCATAAGACTTATGTAAATGTGTAAAGTGAAAGGAAATAAAGCCTTAGGAACTGGGCATTCAAATCTAGTTTGGCTTATGCACTTTGAGTCTGTGGTAAGGAATTTATCTGGGAAAGGTACATTATATACTGCAAAAAACACATCAAGAGTACTAAATCAGATTACTTGCCGGTTACGTCTTCAGACTGATTGAATGATCAAGACTTATGACATCTATTCACATTGGAGTATAATCAGTGAATTGATCAGCTTGTGTAAGGGATTGAAATGAGACCCTTCCCTACCTTGGAAATGGGTAGAGGGCACTAGACAGAGGGAGAGTTGTGGTCTCCACTGAGTTAGTCTTCACAGTTTACCCAGGCCAGTTTCATCTATAAGAACTGTGCATGTGTAATTAGAAGCTACTCAAAGGTGATTTTGACACAAGCTGTCACACCATGTGCACAGCTGATAGGGAATGTTGCTGTTGAATTGCAATGGTAAGTGAACGGTTTTTTTGTTGTTGTATTTTGGTTGCTGGTGGAGGGAGTACTTAGCAGGAGAAAGTTGAAATGGATGTTTAAACCAGTTTCCAAATGTGTTGAGTTTCTGAATCATAGTATTGATTAAAAGCAAAAATACATCCTTCAAATCTGAATCAAACAGATTAGATGCCATACTGTCATTGTAATATTTGCTCTGAGTTTTACAGGAGGAATTGAAGGGTGCAAGAGTGTGTGTATGTGTTTGTTTTGTTTGATACACCTAAGCCCTGCTACTACTGTAGTAATCTAATAAATTAGAGCTATATGCTTCTAAAATATTGATTGCAAGACACATTGTCACTTTTCTTCTAATATTTTTATTGTTTTCTCTGTGAATTCTAATTGAACTATTTGTAACTGCTTCAGAAATATGTTGATGTAACCTTTTTCCTTTCTAGATAGTAGCAAGAAAACATGGTAGTTATTATTTGTGACCCTGAAGGAAATTAACGTCCTAGAAATTTTTAAATGTCAGCTTGCACTTAAAGTGATCCCTTAATTAGGGAATTATATCTTGCATTAACCAGGAAAGGAAAAAGGATGCAAAATAACAATGAAAAGCTTGTCGGATATGTTAATGCTTATTTGAATGAATAGGAAAAGATCCTGTTTCAAATAAAATGCTAATACCAAAAAAAAAAAATTGAAATCATACATGTGAATAAATTTGTTTCAAACTCTAAATAATGTTTTCTAACATTTTGGTTTGACAAGAATCCACGCAGCCTTTTAGAAAGCTCTGTTTAGACTATAGCACATATTACAGATTTGTGATATCACTTAAATTTTTTTAGGGGAAATATTTGAGACGCCTTAAAAAAACAGCTTTTAGAGGTAGAATTTACTTGCTGTAAAATGTACTCATTTTAAGTGTACAGTTAGATGTGTTTTATTAAATGTATAGAGCCACATATCTACCCACAGTCAAAATATGAAACATGTCCATCACCCCCAAAGGTTTTCTATGTACCTCTGCAGTCAGGCCCCTTCCCTGAACGTTGGTCCCTGGAACCCACTGATGTGCTTTCTGTCACCATAGTTTTGCCTTTTCTAGATTTTCATATAAATGGAATTATATAGTATGTGGTCATCTGTGTCTGGTTTAAGTTAGAATAATGCTGTTAAGTTTCATCCATATTGCTGCATGAATCTGTAGTTTATTCCTTTTTATTGCTGATTGGTATTGCATTGTGTGGAATATGCCACAATTTCTTTAACCATTCATGGACTGATAGACACCTGCGTTATTTACAATTTTAGGATACTATGTATAAAATTGCTACAGACATTTTTGTATTAATACAAGAATTTGTATGGGCATATATTTTCTTGGGCACATACCTATGCTGTCATTCTCTGGTTTTCCAGAGTGTGTAGACTGTTTTACATGTCCATTAGTATTATTTGAGGGTTCCAGTTGTTCACCATCCTGACCAAAACCTGATATTGTTAGCCTTTTTAACCTAGCCATTCTAGTAAATGTATATTAGAATCTTATTGTGGTTTTGGTTTATGTTTCCCTAATAGTAACTAAAGTGTTAATTTAAGCATCTTTTCCTGGGCTTATTTGTCTTTCATATACCTTCACTGGTGATATGTTAATTCCAATTTTTTATCCAATTTAAAACATTGGGTTGCTTTATTATGGGCTTGCAAGAATGTTTTATATATCTTAGATACAAGTTATTTATAATATATTTGGTTTGCAAACATTATCTTCCAATCTGTGGCTTGCATTTTTATTTCCTTAATACTGTCTTATGAAGAGTAGATGTGTTTAATTTTGACAAAGTACAGTTTTTCAGTTTATGATTTGTGCTCTTCAATGTCCTATGTAAGAAACTGTTGCCTAGTCCAGGTCACAAAGATTTTCTGTGTTCATCTGTTTCTAGACTCTGTTCTGTTTCATTGATCTGTATGTCTAACTCTCCTCCAGTACAATATTGTCTCGATTACTGAACCTTTATAGTAAGTCCTGAAATGAGCAGCTAATGCCAAGCCTCCATCTTTTTCTTTTTCAAAATTGTTTTCTTATTCTAGTTCCTTTGCACATCTATATAAAACTTAGAATCAGTTTGTTAATTTATACACAGAAGCAGACTAGTTTTTATTAGGATTACTTTGAATCTGTAGAGCATTTTAGAGAAATGTAATCTTAATAATATTGAATTTTCCAGTCTATGAACATAGTATATCTCCCATTTATATGGGTCTTTCTCTCAGTCATGTTTTATAGTTTGCATTCTTGCACATATTTTATAAAATTTACAAGTGTTTCATAACTTTGATATTGTAAATGGTGTTTTTAAAATTTCAGTGTTCCAAAGAAGGAAACAGCAGACACTGCGGTCTACTTGACAAGGGAGGGTGGGAGGAGGGAGAAGAGATAACTATTGGGTACTGGACTTAATAACTGGGTGATGAAATAATATGTACAACAAACCCTCATGACGTATGTTTACCTATGTAACAAACCTTCACATGTATACCCAAAGCTAAAAGTTAAAAAAAATAAAATTTCAGTGTTCAGTTATTCATTACTAGTATCCAGAAATAGATTTAATAATGAACTTGTATCCTGTAACCTTGCTAAATCTACTTACCAGTTCTAGTAGTTTTGTAGACCCCTAAGGATTCTCTACATCATAGTTTGTGAATAAAGAGTTTTACTTTTCCTTTTTAATCTGTATGCCCTTTTTTGTTTTTGCCTTATTGCAGTGATTAGAATCTCTAGTGCCAGGTGTCTGGTAACAAGTGCTATCATGTAGATGGTAACAAGTCTGGTAACAAGTGCTATAGTAGAGCTATATGGCTTCTTAATGTTATTTTAGACATGAGGAATTTAGAAGACCAAGAATAGTACACCTAATGACTTGGGTAATTTTTCAAACACATCTTCCTACGTAATCCCTGGTTGAGCATCTCTGCCCTAGTGAGCTGCTAGGAGTAGGAAAAAGGTTGAGAACCACTGGTTTTGATTATACATTAACCTTGTATCTTTATATACTACTTATAGACACTAGAACTAGATAAAAATTTCGCTAGTAATTACAGCCCTAGCTGAGTGAATACTGGTGTTGAAAAGATGGTAATATGAAACTTACTTCCCCACATGGCTCTAACACCAAAACCATAGCATTCTCTTTTGGATTCAGGCTCCAGACCACCAGATCTGCTTTCCAGCTCACCCTGGCATTAGTCAGTAAACCTCTATAAGGTATCTGCATTCCTTGCCACCTTCACTTTCCATCTTATCCCACCAATAAAGGTTTTTACAAATATGAAACTTTACAAGATATTCTAGTGCTAATAAAAAAGATACTTTACTCATGCACCTATTTTTAAAAGAATTTCTGGTTGTTTTCCTTGTGAATAAAGGATTGGGATTAACTGAAAAACTGGGCTGAATTAGAGGTCAGGAAGGCCACTATTCAACCCAGCCCAGGTAAATAACTTTGTCATTAATAAGCTGAGCATGCCAAATGCAGCAAGAATTCATTTTGAGTGGTAAACTTAGAAGCCACGAGGATCTTCAGGCAAAATTGCAGTATTGGCAGAGCTTATCTTTGCCTTCTTCCCTTTAAGTTTTTCCCCCCAATCCTTAGTCATTTCGTGTCCCAGAGTTATCCAGAATCATATCTAGCAAGATTTATCTCCCAGGTTCCAAAGTGGGAATAAACTATTTTCAATGCCCTAAACAAATCTCCTGCTATATGAGCACAAGTTATGGTAGTTAACTGTTATTACTGAGTAATTCACTCTGTCCTGTAAGTTAAAATTGTTGTTGCCTTAAATAAATTTTAAAATAATTTTAATAGGCAACATTCGTTGATCACTTACTAAGGATAATCTCAATTAATCCTCCCCAAGGTTATGTATGTTTCTCAGGGCCATACATCAGCAAGGAGTGGAATTAAGCAAAAAAACCTAGGGTTTTATCTGATTCCAGAACCCAGCTCTTGAATACAACTTCCCATGGTCCTCTCTGCTTAGAACTATCCCCATAACCCAGTATTTATTTCCCCAGTGTGGCCTTTCCAGCCCCTGTATGTGATCATCATCTCTTGGAGTGCTTGCTAAAATACAGTTTGCCTCATCCCAGCCGTGTGAACTAAGGGAGAGTCTTTGGGAATGAAGCCCAGAACTCTTCATTTTCAATTCCCCAAGTATTCTTAGGCTACTAGAGTTTGAGAACTACTGTCATATAGCCTCTCTTCCTCAACTAAGGAACAGATCTCTGTAGTTTGTAGTAACTGCTGTAAAATGGCAGCTCCATAGGAACCTATTTTCCATAGGAACCTGCAGTTCACCTGTTCAGACAGATTTAGAAAATTAGAAGTCTCCATTTTGCATATAGCTATTTATAATAGTTGGGTGATCATGCTTCCTTCTTCTCAAAATATGCCACTTTATAATTCAAAACTGCAATAAAACTTTAGAAGAAATTTCCTTCCTCAAAAATCAAGACTACGAAAAAAGCAATCCTTGTCATTAGATATTTCTTAATACTGTATTAGTTTTCTAGACTGCCATAAAATATTACCACAAACTTCGTGGCTTAAAACAATAAAAAATTCGTTTTCTTATAGTTCTGGAGACTAGAAATTCAAAATTAAGATGCTGACAGGTCCACAAACCCCTCCCATGGCTCTAGGGGAGAATCCTTCCTTGCCTTTTCCAGCTTCTAGCAACTCCTGGGATACTTTAGCTTGTCACTGCATAACTCCAACCTTTGCCTCTGTCTTCACCATATTTCTATATGTAAAGGCTTTTTTTGGATTTAGAAGACACCTGAATCCACGATGATCTCATCTCAATCCTTATCTTAAATCTGCTATGATCCTATTTCCAAGTAAGGTTACATTCTGAAGTTCCGGTGGCCAGGTATCTTGATAGGACACTATTCAACCCACTGAAAGTCCTTATTTACCCCTCATGTATTGTTATTCTCCCTGCTTAAATTTTAGGATCAGTAACTACTCATCCAGATGTTGACTCTCATGTTCTAATTGAATTTAAACAAAAAGTTACTACTACAATGAATGTTTTGATGTTGCTGTGGAGTGAACGTTTGTGTTCCCCCAAAATTCCTATATTGAGGCCTCAATCTCCCATGTGACGTATTTATTAGAAGGTGGGGCCTTTGGAGGAAATTAGCTTATAAAAATGGAGCCCCTCATGAAAGAGATTAGTGCCCTTACAAGAAGGGATGGGGAAAAAATGGCGGGTAGGAGGCAGAACTAACTCTCAGCTCCGACTTGGATGGACAGAGCAGCCTGTAGAGACTCACATCGTGGGCTTTTGATCCAAGAAATACTGCAGAAACATAAAAGCTGAGAGAATCCACAGACCCTTTGATGGAAGCAGCTTGCTACTGCAGGCTCCGTGAGACAGCCAAAAAACTGTGAGCGACCAAAGTGTGAGAAGGGGAACCCGAAGGTCCAGATCTTGTGAGATGGATTTGACCTTACCTGGAGCTGAGATGAATTTAAGAGAGCCAAGCAAAATACAGGGGTAGAGGAAGCAGTGGGGAGAGCCCTGTGGGTACTCTCATTCCCAGGGAAGCCATTTCTGACTTTTTCTCACAGGGGTCCTTGGGGAGGACTGCCAGTGGAATTGGGGAAAGACCACAGGGAGAAGGAATCTTCCAGCTGAACTTTGTAACAACTTTGATGGAATGTGAAGTTTCCTGGACGGAATCTGGTGAAGATGGTGAACAGGGAGTGCAGATATGATCACAGAAGATGCGGCAGGCTGGGAGGTACAAAACCTGAAAGCCCTGCTTGCTTTCTCAGTGAGGGGGGTTGTAGCCTGGGGCAGGTTCTCAGCCCTGCTCACCGGCTGCCTGGAAATAAACCTGGAGCTATTGAGGGGACACGGCAAGAGTGAGACCAGCCTTTCAGGCTGCATGGGAACTGGGTGAGGCCTGTCACTGTTCCCTGGCGACCTGTGTGACACAGCAGAGGCAGCCATAATCCACCTGAGAACATAAGTCCATTGGCCTGAGAACCACACCCCCATCCCCCACAGCAGCCACAGCAAGCCCTGCCCAAGTAGAGCCTGAGCTCAGACCAGCCTAACCCTGACTTCACTTGATGGTCTTTCTCTGAGACCTGCCCTGATAGCTGAAGACAAAGGACATAAATTTCTTGAGAGCTCTGTTGTCCCTCCTACCACCTGAGAAACCCAAATACTTATCCAGACAGCCCTAGGGCAAACTTGTATCCTCCCTATGCCACCACAGCTGATGCTTTCTGGAAAGTGCCACCTCCTAGCTGGAGGTCAGCCAACACAAAAAACAGCACACTGAACAAAACTACAACCAAGGACCCTCACAGAGTCCGCTTCACTCCCCCAATACCTCCACCAGAGCAGGTGCTGGTATCCACGACTGAGACACTTGAAAATGGATTACATCACACAACTCTGCAAACACTCCCAGTCACCAGCCGGAAGCCTGGTAGCTCCGCTGGTTGGCTAGACCCAGAAAAGAAGTAACAGTCACTGCAGTTCAGCTCTCAGGAAGCCTCATCTCTAGGGGAAGGGGGAGAGCACCACATCAAGGGAGCACCCCATGGGACAAAAGAATCTGAACAGCAGCTCTTGAGCCCCCAATCTTTCCTCTGGCATAGTCTATCCAAATGAGAAGGAGCCAGAAAAACTATTCTGGTAATATGACAAAAGAAGGTTCTTTAAGAGCCCCAAAAGATCACCTTAGCTCACCAGTAATGGATCAAAACCAAGGCAAAATCTCTGAATTGCCTGTAAAAGAATTCAGAAGTTCGACTATTAAGCTATTCAAGGAGGCACCAGAGAAAGGTGAATACCAATTCAAAGAATTTTTTTTTTTTTTTTTTTTTTTTTGAGACGGAGTCTCACTCTGTCGCCAGGGCTAGAGTGCAGTGGCGTGCTCTCTGCTCACTGCAAGCTCCGCCTCCTGGATTCATGCCATTCTCCTGCCTCAGCCTCCCGAGTAGCTGGGACTACAGGCGCCTGTCACCACGCCCAGCTAATTTTTTGTATTTTTTAGTAGAGACAGGGTTTCACCTTATTAGCCAGGATGGTCTCGATCTCCTGACCTTGTGATCCACCCGCCTTGGCCTCCCAAAGTGCTGGGATTACGGGCATGAGCCACCACACCTGGCCCTAAGAAATTTTTTAAATGTTACAGGATATGGACAGAAAACCGTCCACAGAAATAGATAGCATAGATAAAAAACAACTTCTGGAAATGGACACACTTAGAGAAATGCATAGTACACTGGAAAGTCTCAGCAATAGAATCAAACAGGTAGAAGAAAGAACTTCAGAGCTCAGACAAGGCTTTCGAAATAACCCAGTCCAACAAAGACAAAGGAAAAAGAATGGGGGAAAAAAAAAACAACAAAGCGTCCCAGAAGTTTGGGATTATGTTAAACAACAAAACCTAAGAAAAATTGGTGTTCCCAAGGAAGGGAAATCTAAAAGTTTGGAAAACATTTGAGGGAATAATCAAGGAAAACTTCCCTGGCCTTGCTAGAGATCCAGACATCCAAATACAAAAAGCTCAAAGAACACTTGGGAAATTCATTGCAAAAAGATCATCGCCTAGGCACATAGTCATCAGGTTATCTGAAGTCAAGATGAAAGAAAGAATCTTAAGAGCTGTAAGGCAAATGCATCAGGAAACCAACCTGTAAAAGAAAACCTATCAGATTAACAGCAGATTTCTCACCAGAAACCCAGCAAGCTAAAAGGGATTAGGGTCCCATCTTTAGCCTTCTTAAAACAATTACCAGCCAAGAATTTTGTATCCAGCGAAACTAAGAGCTTCATAACTGAAGGAAAGATACAGTCTTTTTCAGACAAACAAATGCTGAGAGAATTTGCCATTACCAAGCCAGCACTACAAGAACTGCTAAAAGGAGCTCTAAATCTTGAAAAAATCCTCAAAATACACCGAAATAGAACCTCCTTAAAGCATAATCTCACAGGACCTATAAAACAATAACACAATGAAGAAAACAAAAAAGGTATTCAGGCAACAACTAGCACAATGAATAGAATAGTACTTCACATCTCAGTACTAACATTGAATGTAAATGGCCTAAATGCTCCACTTAAAAAATACAGAATGGCAGAATGGATAACAATTCACCAACCAAGTATCCGCTGTCTTCAAGAGACTCACCTAACAAATAAGGACTCACATAAACTTAAGGTAAAGGGGTGGGAAAGATACTCCATGCAAATGGACACCAAAAGTGAGCAGGAGTAGCTATTCCTATATTAGACAAAACAAACTTTAAAGCAACAGCAGTTAAAAAAGACAGTGAGGGACATTATATGATGACAAAAGGACTGGTCCAACATTAAACTATCACAATCCTAAATATGTATGCATCTAACACTGGAGCTCCCAAATTTGTAGAACAATTACTACTAGACCTAAGAATGAGATAGATGGCAACACAATAATAGTGGGGGACTTCTGTACTCCACTGACCAGACTAGACAGGTCATCAAGACAGAAAGTCAACAAAGAAACAGTGGACTTAAATTATACCCTAGAACAAATGGACTTAACAGATATTTACAGAACATTCTACCCAACAACTGCAGAATATACATTCTATTCATCAGTACCTGGAACATTCTCCAAGATAGACTATATGATAGGCCACAAGTCCCAATAAATTCGAGAAAAATGAAATTATATCCAGTACTCTCTCAGACCACAACAGAATAAAACTGGAAATCAACTCCAAAAGGAACCCTTAAAACCATGCAAATACATGGACATTAAATAACCTGCTCCGGAATGATTATCAGGTCAACAATTAGAAAATTATTTGAACTGAATGATAATAGTGATAGAACCTATCAAAACCTCTGGGATACAACAAAAGCAGTGCTAAGAGGAAAGTTCATAGCATTAAATGCCTATATCAAAAAGTCTGAAAGAGCACAGACAATCTAAGGTCACACCTCAAAGAACTAGAGAAACAAGAACCAAACTCAAACCCAGCAGAAGAAAAGAACCAAGATCAGAGCAGAACTAAATGAAATTGAAACAACACAAAATACAAAAGATAAATGAAACAAAAAGCTGGCTGTTTGCAAAGTTAAATAAAATTGGTAGACCATTAGTGAGATTAACCAAAAAATGAAGAGAGAAGATCCAAATAAGCTCAGTTAGAAATGAAATGAGAGCTATTACAACCAGGGCCATGGAAAAGACAAAACTGCTATCTGTAACTTACCAGAGACCTTCTACTCTCTAATTGTCTTACTCCTGAAGACAGCAGCTTGCCCCCTACCTCACTGATAATATCCCATCTTCAGCCAAATTTACTTTTCCTCTCAATGGAGAAAAGAAAGAAATTGTAGTAAACTCTGTTATATGCAAAATCACACAGAAAGATGGTAGGGAGATTAATAACATTAGACTTTATATTGGGGCATATTTTTACAGGGTTAATCTGTATTGTTATATATTTTGTAGATTTACAAGAATGTAATTTAAACAGTCTGCTATAGTTTTGATGGGTACAAAACCAGGTCAGTCTGACTCTGTAGCTCCTGTTCTTAATATGCCATTTTTAGAAAGTAAAGTAGCATAGTGGAAAGGCTTTAGAGTCATACGATAAGTGACCACTAACTGATCTTCAACAAATGACTTCTCTGTGGCTCAGTTTCTGCAAGTATAAAAGAAAGATAATTTCTCAAGGGCTCTTACGATACTTAAAAGTGACTGTGTGCACTGATAAACTGTAAGGGCAAGCATTTCTTTTTCTGTTCACCCATGTACCCCAGATGACTACAGCTGTGACTGGCACCGTGAGTGCTCTGTAGATAATTTGTGGCATGAATAATGCCTGGCACATCAGAGGCACTCAATAAATAGTAATAGCCACGTGCTTCATTAATCACCTTCAATCCTAACATCAGAACATAGAAACTATAATAATATGCTGTCTCTGGTCTCATTTATTTCAAAGACCAGCAAATTAGTAGATTATGCACATGCTCATGCCTCTTTTAGGCTTTTGTTGTTTCATTTGCAGGGGTTTTGGCAACTTGTAAACAAATTTGTTGGGCCCAACAGTAAGATAAAATATACTTTGTTACTGCTCTTGTTTTCACATTGAATTTTGAATGCCCTGTCTGAAAAATGATAATGAAAACAAGGTATATGAATGTAAAGGATTATGAGTACATGAATTTACACATGTATATATGTTGTATACAAGTCTTTGTGATTTTCTCACGTGTGTAGATTCATGTTTTCGTAATCCTTTAAGCTCTTCTGTATTTATGATTTTAGTTTACTGTATGTAATCTTAAATACTTATGCTTTTTCCCCTCAGTCAGATCCATAGGGTTTAAGTATCTTACTCATCTTGTCAAATAACTAACTTCTGCATTTATTTTTTAGTTTTATTATATTAAGTACTGCTTTTTATCTTTAGTAATTTTCTCTTTCTCTTTCCATTTGTATTCTTTTTTTTCTCCCTCTAATTTTCAATATGAGTAGTTTCTCTTTTTCAGTTTTCCTCTTTAGTAATGAAGCATGTAAGGTCATAAATTTTTCTTTCTATTGCAGTCTTCATTGTATCCTATAGATTCTCTTTTTCATTGCTTTTTAGATAATTCGTAATTTTCCTTTTGATTTTATCTTTTATCCATGGGTTATCTAAACTTTTTTTAAAAAGAGGAATATTTTATTATTTATTTTTATGGAATCTTGATGTGAGAATGTGCATCATAAAGTCTCAGTTTTTACAAAATGTGTTTAAATTGTCTTGCCACTAGGTAAGTAATCAGATTTTTTATAAATGCTCATGGTTACTGATACCTTTAAAATATTTTTGAGTATCAGATGGGTCTGTGAGAAACACACTCACCCATCCAAACCCAAAGAATGGACTTAGAGGCACAAAGAACAGCAAAAGTGAGACTTATTTTAATAGCGATCTTGCAAGATGGGGTGTCTGGTGGGCAGGCACACCCAGGCCAGCTACAACAGATAATTTATCTCCTAGCACACAAGTCCCTCCCCCAGTTCCCCATTGGTCGAGTACTCTGGGGTTACAATCTTCTCTGATGTCACCTAAGTCTCATTATCCGCCTTATAAGGTTATACCCTGGTCCCCTTCCCCACTTAAGTTTCGATTTCCCAATAACGAAACTTTCTTCGCTTTTAGAGGCTGACCCCTCCTCTACATTCTGTTTCCTTATTTTGTGACCTTCTAGGTGCATGAGCCATGCAGTTTGTTATGTTCGCAGGCTAGCTGCCCGTACTTAGACTTACTATGCCTTAAAAATGGACCATTTAAAATGTTTTCTCACAGGTCTGTATAAATCTATTAAGTCACATTTATCAATAGCTATTCAGTTCCTTTATTTAACTAGTTTTTATCACTGGAGTTGTTCAGTTATGGTAGAAATAGTGAAGCCTACACTATAATTTTATTATTTTTCAATTTCTCTTTGGATTTCTTTCTTTTTTCCTTTTAACTACAAAGACTGGTTCATACAGGTCTTTGACTAATATTTTCTTTTAAAAAAACATTCTACTCTTAGATGCTGAAAAGATATTTGATAAAGTCAAGCCATTCCTAATAAACACTAGGAAAATAAAATAGAAGTTAACTACTTTAATATGATTTTTACCAAAACTCAGCAGTCAGCATCTTATATGCTAAAGATCTCATTTTAAAACTCACATTTTAAATTCAAAACTTTAAGTAAATGTTAATGAAAGCAATAAAACTACCAAAAGACTGGAAAATTGACCATAAAACTGTTTTTGCTGCAATCTATAAGGTCAAAAAGTCTAGTAAAATTTCAATTACAATAAAAAAAATTTGTAAGTTGGCTATATATATACAACAATAGAGTTGTCCCTATTCTAGCAGTGATTACCTAAAAACAGAAATAGAAACACATGTTGTATTCACAATTATGTTCTATTCACAATTATGTGATAAAAATTATGAAATTGTTTAGGAATAAATTTTTTAAAAAACATCACAGAAGCTATGTGAAGAAAACTGAAATTTATTAGAAGACATAAAATAAGATTTGAGCAAAAGGAAAGAAAAAGCATACCATTTTCTTGGTTGAGAAGAGGATATAAAATTGCCAATTCTTCCAAAACTGTTATGTAAATATAATGCAAATGCAATTGCAGGACAGGTTTTTTGGGAGGGATATAAGGTATTTGTTTTGGAATTGAATTAAATGCTCTTCAAGTTTGTATTGCAAAACAGTTGTTCCAGGAGAAGCCAAGTATAGTTTGAAAAAGAACACAGAGGCACACTTGCTTTACCAGATATTGAGTCACTAAGGAAAACAGTGTGATCTTGAAGCAAGAATACTCACAGATCAGTGGAGCAGAAGAGAGAAGGGAAACTAGATATCTATATATGTGAGAATTTAATAAATGACCAAGTTGGTATTTTAATACAAGAGGAAAGGAGATCGGTGCCATAATTGAAATACCAACTTGGTATTTCAGTACAAGGAGAAACGAGGAGTTGTTTTGCTTGAAAAACTGATATCCATTTGAAAGAAAGTAAAGCTGGATTATAAGGCTAAAAGAAAAAAACGTATTTCATCTTTCAGAGAAATATAGGATACATGTATATTAGGGACTGACAGACAAAACTAGGAATCCAGAAGCTATAACAGAAATTTTCTTGACTAGACACACACATGGGTTGGAAAAGATGCCATGAAGTCAATTGATAGATAATGGATTTATAAAAATACTTGCAACACAGTGTACAGAGGACTAATAATCTGTGATAAAGAAGGGACTTTGCAAATTGACTAGATAGAGACAAACAACTTATAGAAAATGGATAAAGAAAATGAAGCTGCATTTACAGAGGAGCAAATCCAACAAAATAAACTCAAGAGTGGCTATATGGCAAAATTAGTATGTAGAAAACATTTACTCTATATATGGTAGAGGGTAAAGAACTCTTGCAAAGTCATAAGAAGATGACAAATAAATTATATTACCACAGTGTTTTTCCAATAAACTTATTTTTTCTCATCAAAGACATAAAAATACAAAATGAGGCTGAGCATGGTGGCTCACCCCTGTAATCTCAGCACTTTGGGAGGCTGAGGCAGGTGGATCACCTGAGGTCCGGAGTTCGAGACCAGCCTGGCCAACGTGGCGAAACCCTGTCTCTACTAAAAATACAAAAATTAGCCGGGCATGGTGGTGGGCACCTGTAATCCCAGCCACTTGGGAGGCTGAGGCAGGAGAATCGCTTGAACCCGGGAAGTGGAAGTTGCAGTGAGCTGAGATCGCGCCATTGCACTCCAGCCTGGGCAACAAGAGCAAAACTCCATCTCAAAAAACAAAAAAAAATTATATACTTGGGCAATTTTCTTAAATTACAATACCAAGCATTAGTAAGAGTGTGAAAAGGAAAGCACTGTTATACATTTTTGGTGTGCATTTAAATTGATGTTTCTGGTCAGTTTCCGACATGTAGCTAAAGCCTGTTAAGGTGTTCATATCCTTTTTAGTTAAGCTTATGAAGGTATCTATTTAAACGTGATTTTTGTGGAAAAAACTTAGAAATATGAAAACTTTTTTTAATGTGATATCTATATCATCAAATATTGTGCATCTATAACATGTTTTAGAAAGTCTTTAACAGCATCGATGGAAAGATGCACGAAAAATAAATTATATGACAGTATTACAGTATGGTTCCATTTCTAGATCTTTTTTTTTTAAGGTACATGTTATGTACGTATTTGTCTGCTAGAGAGGCCATAACAAGATAACACAGACTGAGACTGAGTGACTTAAACAAAAGGAATTTAGTTCCTCACTGTTCTGGAGGCCAGAAGACCAAGATCATGTGTTGGCGAGGTCAGCTTTTCCTGAAGCCTCTCCTTCATGGCTCGCAGATGGCCACTTTCTCACTGTGTCCTCACGTGATATTCTTTGGACATGAACATTCCTGGTGTCCCCTCCTCTTCTTATGAGGACTCCAGTCATACTGGATCAGGGCCTCACCTTTTTTGCCTCATTTAATCTTAATTACCTCTTTAAAGGCTTATCTCCAAGTATAGTCACATTGGGGGTTAGGGCATCAACATAAGAATCTTGAGGATACAATTGTCTATAACAATATCCACTTCCATAGGTGTTTTATGTGAATAAGTATCACCTGAACTTTGGGGAGGAAAAAACAAATGGAAGGATATATACCTGAAGGAAATCAGTTGGTATGATTCAAGTTTTTTTCTTCTATAGACTTAACTTGCATTTTCTTCATTTATCTATAGTAACTTCTATTACCTTTTGTAATAAGGGAAATATTTTTTGAATTCAGAGAAAGTATCACATGAAAAAAGTAAGTGATAATGCTAATATAAAATTTTATGTCTAAATATGAAGCACAGAGAAAACAGCCTTCTACTTTTTTCAAATAATCTTGAAGGCCCACATGTAGGACTATCTGTAGTTTTTTATGAACCCTGACTCTTCACCTGAGAGAAGTCCATTTCTCAGCATTGGCTTTTTAGGATGAATGGCATTGAGTCACTTAAAAGGGACTTGACCTCATATGAGCCAAAATGTACTTTGAAATAAAGTATGAATCTTTAAGGTGATACTGGAGAAATGCTTCCTTAGGGTCCACATATATATCAGTCAGAGATTTGCATGCTGTTAGGGTAACAGTAGATGGTAAATAGAACACTCAAAAGAAATAGAAAGCCTGTTCAAAAACAGAAAATGCCAAAAATTTCTCCTGTAAGTTGTAATTGATGATTAACTCCCACCAGTTGATACTGTATCAGTTAGCATACTTTAACTACTTATAGCCAAAAACCTGATTTAAACCAGGTTGAAAGGTAAGGAAATGCATTGACACAGCCACAACTTTAGCAATAGGTTATGTTTAAAGGTTAGATTTTGGCACCCAGCCATCTGAGCTAGGTCCTGGTACCTTCTATCTCCATTCTGACCTCTATGGTGTCAGCTGTATGTGGTTTTCTTGTGGCTTTCTGTATGTGGTTTTCTTAGGGCTTTCTCTTGGGAGCAAGACAACTTTCTCTAGAAGCCCTAGACATACTCCTCTCATGTCTCATTGTCCCAAATTGAGTAGTGAACTTATTCCTGAACCAGTCCCCAGTAACGGATATAGGGTTGCCATGATTAGCTCAGGTCAGTATCCTAAAGGCTATGTTTCTGTGCTATGGGAGAGGAGTAGACTGAATGTTAGAAAATAAACCACAGCATGCCCTACACCACACTTGGCATCTCTCACAAAGGAAATATTCAGGGTGCTGAAGGGCCAGTGTGATTATAATTTATATGATGCCCTTGAAGTATCAAGATGTTGCCAGATCCAGTAGAGGTCAATGTTTATCACACTTGCTAGGAAGCTCAGTATAGTAGCAAAGTTACTTTTCCTTTTATTTTTAATGCATTATGTGAAAAATATTCCTTGCAAATTTCAGATGTTTTCACTGAAGAAGCTTGAAATTAACATGTACTCAGCCTTGACTTTCCACGGTTTTAAATTGTAGAAATTATCAGTAAAATATAGACATAGTAGATAAGTACTGTTAATAGCTAGGCACTTGGGGCTATTCATTTTTTTATATATGAGAGTTCCAAGAGCTGTGATTTAAATTTCACATTGCTTCTTTAACTCCAGCCTCAGCAAGTGCATACTGTTATTCAGATTTTCAGTGATCTATTAATGTGTTAAAGTCAAATTTTGGAACATGTTGACATATTTTTATTCTATCTGGAAAATTAAACTTGTTTTGAAGATCCAGAGAACCAGTATTCATTGGGAGAGATAAACAGCACTGAAAAGATTCACCATTTATACAAAACACAAACAGTGCAACAGATTTAGGATAGAAATGTGAAAATAGGTGTCTCTAAAAATATGTGTAAAGAATCAAATTGAAATTGAATAAGCAAGACTGTTCACAAGTATACCATTTTTAGTTTTAACTTTCCAGCTGAAGGTTAACTTTGAAGCTCAAAATGGTTCTTATTTAGAAAAAGATTGAGTACTATCCTTGACTTAATAAAAAACAACAACAACAAAAGATGGGACAGGTGGCCAATGATCCTAGAGCACAGATCATCAACTTCCAATTCTGAATGCCATGGGACAACTTAAAATGTCTAAGGAGTGAGTTAGTAGGGATGGAGAGGAATATATGCCAGACATAATAGGGCTCAGAGCCAGAGTCAGTCCTCTAAACAGTTGCTTCTCCCTCTATGCTATGGGAGAGGAGTGGACTGCATGTTGAGAATAAACCACATCATGCCCTATAACAGACTTCATCTCTCTCAAAGGACAAGGAGAAAGAAGGAAGGTAAAGGATAGCAACCTAAATCTAAATTCACATCAAGTGGTAATGGTGATTATCCCACCTAGAGGAAGAATAATGATGATACAACAAGAACAACCTGTGAAGAGTATGTGCCCAACACTTCTCTAAGCACTGTAAAGTCCATATCCCATTTGCTCTTCACAAAACCCTACGAGGGTAGGGACTATTGTGTCCATTTACAGCCAAGGCTTATAGTGAGCATGCCAAAGCCGTAGAGCTGGTAAAAGGCAGGACTGAGAGCTGCCTGACTGCACCTTTTGTTCCTTAAGTATTCAACTTATGTAGAAGGGGAAATTAATAATGTTCCTAGTAGGAAACAATAGTATTTTAATACTCAAAGAAAATGGTACTGTTTGAGCCTTAATACCAGTTGGTTTTAAGTGCTTCATGCATACCCTTTTATTTTGAAGCTGAAAGGTATATTATTTATTGGTATTTTTAGTCTAAATATATCTGAATCAATCCATTCAAGACTGTTCTTCAAAATGTACTGACTAGTGCCAATCTGTCATGCTTTATTACTAGCTATGTACTGTTACATGTCCATGTCAACGTGGCACAGTGAATGATTGCTGAGTTACTAAATCCAAGTTTTATCTTCTTAGAGTAACTTTTCTTTTTAATTTGAAAAACAATGTACAAAATCAGCAGCCTCAGCATTTCCTTTCAACTCAAATGCATCTTAGATGACAAGCTACTTAACTCAAAACTCTAATCCATGCAGTTAGATTCATGAATTTAGATCTGGAAAATAGAAAATAGATTTTTATTTTAATTTTTTTAAAGCAGGTGTTAAAATGTAATCTTAAATAAGTTACATGTCGCCGGGCACAGTGGCTCACGCCTGTAATCTCAGCACTTTGGGAGGCCGAGGCGGGCGGATCACGAGGTCAAGAGATCAAGACCATCCTGGCCAACATGGTAAAACTCATCTCTACTAAAAACACAAAAATTAGCTGGGCGTGGTGTGTGTGCCTGTAGTCCCAGCTACTTGGGAGGCTGAGGCAGGAGAATTGCTTGAACCCGGGAGGCGGAGGTTGCAGTGAGCCGAGGTCACGCCACTGCACTCCAGCCTAGGGGACAGAGCGAGACTCCATCTCAAAATAAATAAATAAATAAAATAAGTTACATGTTTATATAGTCTGCATATATTTGATTGTGGAATGGAGAAAGAAAAATTTTAGTTGTTATGAGATCACTGAGTTAAAAAAATTGTGTTATTCTGTCATTGAACTATATAATTGGATCTGATACTTAGGCATGAGCAAACCAGGATTTCTTCACTGTACTATGCATGTAGAGACTACAAAAGCCTCTTTCCATTCTTTTGTTTTAAACGTACAGATGTGTAAGGATTTGGGCTCCCTCCCATTCTCAGTGAGCTGGGACTCTTATAATAGTCGTGGGCTCAGCTTGATGTGCTCAGAGACACTTCATGCTGGATATTACATTTGTAAAATTCAGTTATAGCCTGTAAGCTTCTGTAACTTAAACATGAATAAAGTACTCAAGATTTCCTCACTCTGAGACTAAAAATTAAGATTTGAAATATTAAGCAAGTGCTTCATTCTTCCAAGGTATAAACAACTATGGGCCCAAGTGAGTGTGGTTGTTCTAACACAGTGCTGGCTTTATAAAATATTAAAATATGAAACTTTCCAATAGTCACAGTGTCTGAAACAGAACGAACCCGTTTTCTAAAGCCCGTATAGACAGATGACAGAATAGACAGCATCTAGATTTATAATTTAAACCATCTGGCCATGCGCGGCGGCTCACGCCTGTAATCCCAACACTTTGGGAGGCCGAGGTGGGCCAATCACCTAAGGTCAGGAGTTTGAGACCAGCCTGGCCAACATGGTGAAACCCCATCTCTACTAAAAATACAAAAATTAGCTGGGCGTGGTGGTGTGCGTCTGTAGTCCCAGCTACTCGGGAGGCTGAGGCAGGAGAATCACTTGAACCCAGGAGTGGAGGTTGCAGTGAGCCGGCGACAAGCGCAAAACTCCATCTCAAAATAAAAATAAATAATAATTTAAAGCATCTAAAAAGCAATGAGATCTTTTAAAAATGGCTTTTACTGGTGACAGCCACCTTAATTTGCCTATTTAAAAGTCTGTTGTTTTCATGCCAAAAGATTTAAAGGCAGTATAAATCCTTCGTAACTGCAGGTACATTTTTTTCTTTACAGATTACAGTATTTTAGCCCAGTTATAAATGGTAAATGAAAGAGGCACATCTCAACTTTTGACTATCCATTTCATTATTGTCAGTTTCATATGAACCAAGCCCCAAGGCCATGCTAACCTCTTTCACCTGTTCCCTATACGGAGAAGCTCAGTTGTTTGTTGGTACTGGCTCCCTGTGCCAGAGGCCATGGTGCCAGAAGGTCTTGATAGGATATGAGAAATCAGTTCTTCTACCTGCACAGAATTTGGCTCTTCTACTCAAGAAGTACAGAGTTACATGTGGCTTTGTGGCTTTTGTGTTTGGAGATATTTACTTAATATAAAGCTTTAAAGTTATCAAGACAGGCCAGAAGTGGTGGCTCACATCTTTAATCCAAGGACTTTGGGAGAATGAAGTGGGAGGATCACTTGAGTTCAAGACCAGTCTGAGTGACATAGCAAGACCCCTGTCTTTATATATATATATACACAAATATATATATATATAAAATAAAAGTATCAAGATAGTCAACTCTCCCTCCTTGTATAAAAGCCATTCTCCATTTCCTCCTCTCTTGCTTTTGGAGTTAACACATTTTCGAGTCTCTATGATGCTTAAGGAAAGCCTAGGCTGCCAGCACTGCTCAAGGAAATGAGTGTCAAGGTGTAAGCTGTCTTTCTTCTCTCCACACCTAGTTCCCTTCATCACTTTGTCTTTTTTAGTTTCTAACATTACAGTGTTACTCTTTACTTGCTTATAATATAGATGACATTTTAATTAAATTATAATATCATTCTAAAGTTCTAGATTTTAAACAAGCAATTTTAAAAAAACTTTTGGAATATTACCTTTTTGTAAAGTGAACCCTTTCCCCCTTCACAAGATTGTTATAATTCTTTCAGAACCAAGACTTCATAGAACCCAAGTTGGAAAGAAAAAAAAATACCATGGAACAAGTCATAGAAATTGTAGTAGATGCTAACATCCAAAACTTACTATGTGCCAAGTACTGTCCAAAGAGCTCACTGTACATTAGTTCACCAAATTGTTAACACAACTCAATCGAGAGAGCATTATAATTATCTTCTATATTTTTAGATGAGAAGATAGCAGACTATACAAATATTGGTCAACTACTCATTTCTAGAGCCTTTTTAGTGGAGGGCATTGTGCTAGGTACTGAGTCTAAAAAAGCAAAGACATGGTCCTTGCCCTTAATGTACTTGAGCATCTAGTAAGGGCACAGGATGGCAACCAGGTACCCAAATGAGGTTATCAGTGTACGTGCTTTAAGCATTCACAGGGGGCAAGGCCACTTTGGGCCTTGGTACTTGAACAAGCTTCTTCTTAGAACCCTTGGCATTTGAACTAGACATTGAAGGGATTTGAGATGAAATACGTCAGGAAAAAAGGCTGAATATTTGAGGCAGAGGAAGTATTTTTGGCAATTTTGTGAAATATTCGTTAGAATATTTGTGTTGAGTAGGAAAGTTAAATTAAGAGGCCTCTAATTGGCATTCTCAGCACCCAGGTGAATAGTGCTGTTGACAGTGGTATGGAGATAGTATTGAAATGTGATTTACCCTGACTACTATGTTGGTATCAGTGGACTCCAGGAGGTAAAGTTAGAGAAAAAGGGTACAGCCTAGTAAACAGCCTTTATTGAGAATTTGCTATTTAAGCCTCACAACAACCTTCTTAGGTAATTTATAGATATAGGAACTAAGTAAGCCACAGAGATATTGAGTAACTCAGCAAGAGGCAGAGCCAGGATCCCAGGCAGTCTGTGTCCACAGCCCTCCCTCCACACTCGGTGCTGCCATGAATCTAGAATCTTTCATCAAGGAAAATTTCTCAGTGGTGCCATCAAACTTGCCATCTCAAAACTTGCCATTTCTGTACTGAACATTATAATCCCACAGACACACATGGTACACACACACCTTTACTATAGATCATCAAGAAGAAGGAAGAAAGAAAAGGGCATTCTTCTCACCATTTTGATACCAATTTGTAAAAACACATGACTGTATTTGATCCGTAAGCATTAGGAACCACCTGTATGAGAAAGGCTGGGCCATGTGAATGAGCTGTTCCTAAGATTTTAAGATTGACTGTGACACTCACGTAGAATGACTGAGTAGAGAGGTAGAAGGAGCTACATGGGGAAAGGAGATCGGTCAAGGCTGTTGTGAAAGGTGATACTGATGAAGACCTGTAATCCTGATTGAGGAGAGAAGTATTTACACAGATGTTAGAAGCAGAAGTATTGATTTCCGAGGAGTTTTGAAAGTAAATGAAATGTGAACATAGTCCTGAATCTGGCTAATTGGCATGACAAGTTACAAGAGGTAAAGACATCTTATTTACCTCCATGTGAGAGAAAGGAAAGGGTGAGTGGCACTGAGGAAAGGCACCTAAAACAAGGATTATGGTTGTGGTTGGCGGGCAGAAATGAATGGCCTCTGAGGTCTGCAGATAGAGAGTGCTCTAAAATATTAAACTAGCTTGTACTGTCTAGTCAAGGAAAAGCTTCATCTCTCATGAAGTAATAGAGATGAAAGATTGCTGGTTTTTTTTTTTAATGCAAGTGAGTTAACAGGTAAGACATATTAACATCTTAAGGAATGTATCATACTCAGTCTATCAGCAATGGAATAGGGTCTTTTTTAGATACTTGATCGGACAGCCCACCTTTCAGCATGTAAATTCCCACTGTAGCATACAAGGCAAGTGGTCAGCGCCAGCCCTTTCTCAAATGGTAAATAGATCACCTCTTGATAGCTCAGTCACAAAGCTTTTCCCATGGGCTTCTGACTACTGGCCCAGTTCTTTTTTATTGAGACGGAGTTTCACTCTTGTTGCCCAGGCTGGAGTGCATTGGCACGATCTCAGCTCACTGCAACCTCTGCCTCCCGGGTTCAAGCAATTCTCCTGCCTCAGCCTCCCAAGTAGCTGAGATTACAAGCGTGCGCCACCACGCCCAGCTAATTTTTGTATTTTTAGTAGAGATGGGGTTTCACCATCTTGGTCAGGCTGGTCTCGAACTCCTGACCTCAGGTGATCCACCCGCCTCGGCCTCCTAAAGTGCTGGGATTACAGGTGTGAGCCACCGCACCCAGCCCCCAGTTCTCTTCTTTGGAGCCAAGCAGGTCTGGCCTAGTCTCTCTTCAAATACAGCTCCACTGAAGCTTTCTTCAGTGAGGCTTTCATTTGCACTTCCTCTACCCCCTGCGAACAATATACAGCACTCCTGAAGGGCTGTCATTTCAACTTTGAATCTAAGCCTGTTGATGTAGGCATTTTCATTTATAAAGCAGCTCTCATTAAGTGCTGATTATTTTGTAATTCAGTTATGAAACCAAATTGAAGCCTGGTTCTTACCCTAAAGTAAATCACAGAGTAATGGAGACTGACAAACATTTGCAGAAAACTTGAATAATCATTTTTTAAAAAGTGAATACAACCTAACCTGTTCAGTGGAAAGGGTAAATGTGGGATAAGGTGGGGGAATTGCTTCCTATCTTTATTACTGCTATTGAGGTAAAATGTAAAGAGTGAAATGTGCATGTCTTAAATGTGCAATCTGATTTTTCTGACATATGTAAGCATCATGTAATCCACACCTGAATCTAGAATGTGTCACCCAGAAAATTTCCTTATGCTCCCTTCTCATCGTTTCCCACCCTCACAGGCAACGACTGTTCTGATTTCTATCAGCACAGATTAGTTTTGTCTGCATCATATGGTTCTGTAAGTAATCAAAGTCCTCATCAAAAGTTTCTCACTGAAGGTAACATGGTTCAGGAGAAAGTAACATTCAGAGACTCCGCAGCAACAAGCCGTGTGCCCTTGGGCAAAATTCCAAACTTCTCGGCCTCTTATAAAGAATTGGATTAAGTGATCCCCAAGGTCCCTTACAGGTCCAACACTCCACCTACATTTCTAATCTCTATGGCCCCACCATCTACTTGGTACCCTGAGCCAAAAACAAACCTGGATTGACTCCTCCCTGCTCCTCCTCCCCATTCTCCCACATCCAGTTGGCCACTGTACGGTGTCACATCCGTCTCCCACATCCAGTTGGCCACTGTACGGTGTCACATCCGTTCTTCCTTGTAACTTTTTTGGACATGTCTTTTTTGGCCCCTACGTCCTCTCCATTTCTTGCCTGCTGTATTGTAGTAGCCATCAAACTATTCTACCTCTTTTGCCCTTGGTCCTCTCCAAACCATTCTGGTCACTGCCCGCAGAGAGTAATCTTTGCTAAAATGAAACATATGGGTTCCTTCTGTCTGAAATCCTTAAGTAGTTCTCCACCATGTAAAATGCTTCTCTGCCACCTACAGAATTGAGTTTAAATTCTGAAGAATAACATGGGGTCTTGGACCACATGGCTCCTGCCCACTTTTAGTGTTCCCATCCCCACTGTGCTTTTCTGCCAGAACATTTGCTCTGCCACTACCCCACCTCATTCCTCTCCTTTACTAACACCTTACGTGTTCCCATAAGGTCTATTTAGGCCTTTATGCATGCCTGCCTCCCCAGTTACGTTGAGAACATCTTGAGTGAGGTTTAGGACCATGTCTTACTTGACTGTCTATCTCCAGCATCTAGCACTCTGGCCTGTTTAAGTGAAAACACTTTACCCCCTAAGTTAAATTCAGGATGACAGGATACAGGATCAGGGTCTTACTTGGAGTTCAAGTTTATTTATCTATTTATTTTTAAAGATGGAGTCTCACTGTATTGTCCAGGCTGAACTCCTGGGCAATAGCGATTCTCTCACCTCATCCTCCCGAGTACCTGGGCTTACAGGTGTGTGCCCCTGTAGCTCAAGTTGATGTTTTTTAAAATAAAAAAGTATATGGTAGTTTTCACATGTTTCTCACCACCTAAGTCTGATTTTAAGTTAAGTTTTTCTTTTCAGTAGCTATCGTGGTAACATTGGGTTAAAGGTGAGAAAGTCTACTTTTATTTGGAGAGATGGCTATATTAATAGGAGGTATCAAAACTGAATTCTATTGGTGTTTAAGGAGCTAGCCCTGTAATGTTTAATTCCCATCTCAAATTTGAGTTAATGTGCTTAGTAGTTTTAGAATGGCAGATTACTGTTTCTGCAAATGAAGATATTTTCTTTCTAAATATTTTGTGGTAATTAGCAAGCAGGAAATAAAACTAAAGATGACTGGTAAATATTGACCCAGGTGTCCAGGAACACCAGTATCTCTAACCCTTGTTTGTTCATTGTGGTTCACACTGTCCTGATTTTTCGGTTTCTGGTGCTGCCCTGCAGTGTGAATCAGCATTATCACCCAAATTGAGCACTGCTTAATCTATGTTTTCATCTTTTCGAAACCCAGGTAAGAACCTTGATGCTGTCCATGATATCACTGTGGCGTATCCTCACAACATTCCTCAATCAGAGAAGCACCTCCTCCAAGGAGACTTTCCCAGGGAAATCCACTTTCACGTCCACCGGTATCCAATAGACACCCTCCCCACATCCAAGGAGGACCTTCAACTCTGGTGCCACAAACGGTGGGAAGAGAAAGAAGAGAGGCTGCGTTCCTTCTATCAAGGGGAGAAGAATTTTTATTTTACCGGACAGAGTGTCATTCCACCTTGCAAGTCTGAACTCAGGGTCCTTGTGGTCAAATTGCTCTCTATACTGTATTGGACCCTGTTCAGCCCTGCAATGTGCCTACTCATATATTTGTACAGTCTTGTTAAGTGGTATTTTATAATCACCATTGTAATCTTTGTGCTGCAAGAGAGAATATTTGGTGGACTGGAGATCATAGAACTTGCATGTTACCGACTTTTACACAAACAGCCACATTTAAATTCAAAGAAAAATGAGTAAGATTATAAGGTTTGCCATGTGAAAACCTAGAGCATATTTTGGAAATGTTCTAAACCTTTCTAAGCTCAGATGCATTTTTGCATGACTATGTCGAATATTTCTTACTGCCATCATTATTTGTTAAAGATATTTTGCACTTAATTTTGTGGGAAAAATATTGCTACAATTTTTTTTAATCTCTGAATGTAATTTCGATACTGTGTACATAGCAGGGAGTGATCGGGGTGAAATAACTTGGGCCAGAATATTATTAAACAATCATCAGGCTTTTAGCGACAAGGAACACACACATTTTTCTTAAAGGCCCAATCCTAACAGACTCCCCGTACCAGAGGCAGATCTGGAACTCGTCAACAACAGCCCGGATCACATGCTGTTACTGGACTGCCCAGGTCACCTCATTGAGGTGAGCGCTGTCCCTCCAGGTACTCAGGCAGGTGGTGCCCAGGCTCCCTCCCTTGGCGTCCTTCTTCCTGCGCCAAACCCATCTCATCCTTAAGATCAGAAAATGGAACCCCCTTTGTCGTGAAACCGATCAAGCATTTTGACAGGAAGCCCTTCATTATTCATAACATTGTATGCTGACCAAGACGTCAGAAGACCACCTGTGCCCTTTTCTCTCGTGGAAGATAAAACCTGGACTCAGGGAGCAACCACAGGCTCTCCACTTTGAAACTTTAGTTTGAATTTTAAAAGATAGGAAGTAATACAGTTTAAGTTCCTTTCTCACACTCAGTATTGCATGCTTAGTGCTGGTTTTCTTACAACATTTTGGCAGGTGTAGCTTTTTCTGTTAAAAATGGTATACATGAAGTCACATACTTTTTTAAAGGAACACTCAGAACATTCTGTCATTCCAGTCAGAAACTGTCTTTTGAAATATTTCTTTACAACCTACCAAAAAAGGAAGGTTGTTTTTTCTACATGTGCTTGGGTATCTAACATCTACCATTAAAACAACAAATGGCTTGCAGACAGGGCAGTAATGGTTTATCCTAAATTACTCAACCCCTTGTAGCCTTGACAAATTTTACCTTAAAACCAAAATGAAACACAAAAATTAATCCTTAATAATGATAGCAAGTGATCTTTCTTTTTAGTTTTAGCCTTCCTTTTTCAATAGTAATATTTAAACCCACTTTTGACCAATTGTTTGCCCAAATATTCTTGTCATTTGGAGTCAGTGGAAAATCCAGCACACCAAGCACCAGTCTTCTTCTGAGGCAAAAGAAAAGTGTTGTCATTTTCACTCTGTTGGAGCTGCACACTTTTTTTTCTTTTTTTTTTTCTTTTTTTTTTTGTCGTGTAAGAAGGATGCTGGTCAGAGCTGCAGAAAATATGAGGCAATTAAAAGTCTTTAGCTGTTAGCAAACCTGTTAGTTTTACTTCTGCATTGAACCAGCCTCAGAAGCTACTTACTGCTTTATGTACTCTTTGGGCATTAATGCCTTCTCTGTAATTATATCTCGTTTTTGCTTGACAGTGACCTACCCAATAATTGCATCGTGCATTGCCATGAAAGGTAAACACATTGTGAACTGAACTTACCAAGCAGATTCTGTGAGAAAGCACTGGTTGAGGCTGAACACTGTTGACACATCATTTTTATTGGAAGAGTATTAACTGGTGCCTCTTCTGAAACACACCAACCCATATTCCTCTGCTCCCCCAAAGCTGTTTCTGATCCTGCTGGGAGCAACTAACTAGTTATTATGCACATCTGCTCCAGACCCAGCTCTTTAACTTCATGGTTTTACAGCTTGTTTTTTCTTTTTCTTTTCTTTTTTTTTTTTTTTTTTTAAAAAAGCACCTTTTTTTGTTGTTTCCCCTTAATAAAAGAGGTTTCTAATTTATGTTTCTCTAAGATTTCCTTTGGTTGTATTTAGAAACACAAATAGTTTTATAATCAGGATTGCATTTGTGCTGGGTAAAAGAGGAGAGCTGTGCTTTCTACCCCAAAGTTGTTGGTAATGGAGCCGGTCTGCCCTTCCTACAAACTCAAGAGGCTCATTGTTCAAGGTGTAACAACATTTAATTGCATGTCCTCTAACGCTTTGAAACCTTTAGAGGGAAGATCCTCATTTTTTACAATTTTGTTCCTTTTCATCATAGAAAACATGTTTAAGATAAAATACAAACTTTACCTACCCCAAATTCATAAAGTACATTTAGTGCTGTATAGCACTAAAACTTAGAGATACAGACACTGTACTTACTTTTTAAGAATTAGAGACAGTAACTCCAAAAATAATTGTCCTTTTTTCTTTCTTTCTTTTTTTACAATAAGGCTCTTGAAAATTGTCATTACTTGTGTTTTCCTATACATTCATCTGTGTGAAAGCCTTTTTCTTCTTTGATTTAAAAAAATTAACTATACAGTTAATGGTTTAGAACTTAGAACTACTTAGAATTAATGCTAAAGTGTCAGGAAGAAATTAATTTAGCTTCAATAATTGTGACTGGCCTCAGGAATTCTCCCTTCCACACCTGCCCACCTCACCTCACTGCACCGCACCGCACCAGAGCCAGAGCAGCTGCTTGTCTGCAGCAGGACACAGTTCCTACATACGTTTCAGTTCTTTCATGGTAAGCTCAATGGACTTTGAATTGTTTACAGTGCTGTATGTCCAATTGTTAAATGTACCATTCTGAACGATGTTAAAGCAAGTGTGGTTTATTTATGGCATGAACCATGTAACTTGAAATATGAACTTACAAGGAGGGGCACTCATTAGGTAACAAGTTCTTACACCAAACTTCCTTGATGAAATAAGCCAAAATAATCCTAAAATTCATTAGAAGAACTTGATAAAAGACTCAAATAAATGTTAGAAAGAGCCCGTAATTTTAGGACTCCTATAAAATTCTTCCTTGTTTGTTAATGCTATTAAAACTCAGATTCAAGGGAAATACCAGCTTCCACTTGAGTCACTTTGAAATAGTTAATTCAACAGCACCATGTTAGAAATATATTGGCAGCCAAGACTCTGAACTCTGCAGAAACATTTGTTTCACCCAGACTTCAAACTCTAGCCCTGACTATGATGCCCCTGTGTGCATTTACAATAAAGACTCCAACGGAGGGAGCCTGTTGGTGTTAAATTGTTTACATTTCTTTATACAAATAATGTGCTTTCAGTGCCTTAGTTACAGCTCCCTTTCTGTTTCTTGTTCCAAGGATTCTGTAGTATGTAGTGTGTTTCTTAGGTAAAGTCTCTTTTTGCTACTGAAAGGGAAATGGTCTCTAAACACTGGTCACTGTAGCAGGTAAACACTACTCTAACGTGGAGAAATGAGCTTCATGCTGAGGTAGTGGTTGCCTTAGAGCTGTTATTTATGCTGTAGAAAACGAAAATGGTTTTGCTACCTGATAAGCTTCAGATTAGATATAGCCCTAAAGTTATCCTGTACCTGCATTAAATTTTCATTTTAGAAGAGAATCTTGGTTTTGGTAATTCATTTTTTTTTAAGATCATTATGTGCAAAACACCAAGTTTTAAAAATAACTCACAGAATGGCCTTAGTTTTCAATGTCTGATGGTATATTTGTGAGTTGTGTTATCTGTAATATACATCCCAGAATAAAGGAGTGAATTAAATAGTTTACATGTGTGTTACGTTCTGTTTTTGCAGGAATAACAAGTAACTGCAAGTTAAGGTGCTACTTTTTTCCCCACAATGCCTTGCATTGCAGTGTCTAGTGTTAAGGAAAAACCTGGCCAGTTAGGTCTCTTTTTTCCACAGATGTCAAGAAAAGTGGCCTAATCAAGAAAACAATGTACTACCTCCATAATAGGAAAAGTCCAGGCACCACAATTGAATTAAGGACTCAACGAATGTCATCAGAACTTGATTTTCCTCCATCTCTTAGCACAGCCTTGCTATTGAGAACAATTTGGTTGTTCCACAAATGTGGGATCTTATATAAATATCAGCATGACCAACTCTTACCTAAGATAAGTGGGACTCTGTGCTCCAGTCCCTGACCTCACGTTGGGGAGTATATAACTATAAAAGCAAATCTTGGACCAAAATCTGACAAATGTATAAAAATGTGCTTAGCAAACAGACAAACACATGAGAATCACGGAGCCTCTTGTAATGGGGCCTTCTGCAATGCCCCACTCTGTCTTCTCAAGTGAGCACTTTGTGTGATAGATTCATGTGGAGGGGAGTCCACAACGTTGTTCCCTGGGAAAGGGGAATGCAGGACCAGAAGAGCACAGACCCGGCCCCAAGAGCGCCAGTCCCACAGACTGGGACATTGGGTTTGTGGGACTCCTGTCCTCCGTTTAAGCAAAAGGAAGAGAAGGGTTTTGTTTCTCACCACCTACTTAGCTTCAGCATTATTCATTTCACTGATAAATTATATAAAAGGCTTAAGCAACCCTCTCTGGAGGGTGGATTTCTAGTGAGGGCTTCAAATTCCAGCTAGTATGTCCTGGGATGGACATAAGATACTAATCCACACATATACAGTGCACCTTCATACTGATATTTTTAAACTAAATTACTAAAGAGAACTTGTGCTGTCCTTGGCTTGATTTGCAGGATCCATGTAGGGTGGCATGGTGCCTGCAGCCACTTCAGCCCTGCATCCTCTCAGGTTCAAGTCCAGTGGGAAAGAACAAGAGAGACTGCTGTCCCTATGGCGCAACAGCAACCCCATATTGGGTTTCAGTGCCCATTCCTGGACCAGTCAATTGCCCAGATACATGATGTGTGTTACAGCCCTGGGTTACTTGCGGAGCCTGTTGAGTAACCTGGACAGCATGGATGGGGGAGGGATGACTTTTAAGACAAAAATTAAACACTTGTTATCAAGAACAGGATGAACTGACGCTGGATGGCCAAATTACCACAAATGTCCACCACAACTATCAAATTTCCCAGCCTCCCAGTGGAGAGAGGACTGGGAGGCTGGAGCAAATGACTGTGATTTCCTGTGCAGTGAGAGGCATCAAGAGGCTGAGCAGCCTTGTCTATCCACATCAGGGGTTACTTGGGAACCTAAGGGTTCTCCATAGCTGTGTCTGGACAATCTCATCAACAATTGGTCCATCTGAATTATTCAGTCATTGCCTCCACAGAGATCAGTATTGAGAGCATTTCCTTATGGGAAATTTCTTGAAGTGTAAATACTACAGCTCTAATGGCTCTCCCTGTTGGCAGAGGCAGTTCACATTCTCCCAGTGCTGCAGGTTCAGAATATTGCAGCGTCCCTCCTTCCTGGACACTCAAGCTGTCACTACCACCCGTGTCTTCCTCTTCAGGGCCCTTCTTACTTGTGTTCTGCACACAACTATTGCATCAGACCTGGGCAGGTCTGGCAACATCCAATCAGTTTCCTGCTCCCACATTCTCCCGATGCCAATCCTGGTGCACTGGACTTGTTCCTTGATCATACTGCAACACCAGTTTTATCATGGAGCTTCCCTTCTCATAATGCAGTGCTTCCTACCAACTGCTGGACAGTCTAGACACCTCTGCCTCCCCTGGGTCCTCTAGCCTAGGCTTAACCTTGTTTCTAGGCATTTTCTCCTGTGCGAACCTTTTCATATGAGCACAGCTGGTTGCCCAAACCTCCTCATGTCCCCTCTCCCTTTCCCAACTTTGCACATATTTCTCATTTGTGAAAGGTGCTTTCTTAACCAGCCCGAGTCTAGTTGAATCCCACTTTTTCTCTGAAGCTTATCCTGTTCAATCTAGCTTGAAATGTCCTCCTCCTATCATGGATGATATTTCTCTGCAGCTCTCGCTTGAGTGTATTACAAGCTGTCTTATGTTACAGTTATTTTTCAATCTTATCACCTCCATTGGATTATAAGCTTTCATTTCTCTTATCCCAAACAGTGTTCAGCCCAGCCATTCTTTTTGCACAATACATTCTTAATGATGTTTGCTTGAAGTCATTCATAAAGCATCCTGTTTGTTTTAAATGAAAGCTGGGTGGAGAAGTTTACAAATTTAAAATTTAAAAATTTTTTTAAATTTTTTAAATTTAAATTTAAAATAAAATAAAATTTAAATTTATTTTATTTTTTTTTTTTAAAAAGGCCAGGTGTGGTGGCTCATGCCTGTAATCCCAGCACTTTGGGAGGCTGAGGCAGACGGATCACCTTAGGTCAGGAGTTTGAGATCAGCCTGGCCAATATGGTGAAACCCCATCTCTACTGAAAATACAAAAATTAGCCAGGTGTGGTGGCGGGCGCCTGTAATCCCAGCTATTCAGGAGACTGAGGCAGGAGAATCACTTGAATCCAGGAGGCAGAGGTTTCAGTAAGCTGAGATTGTGCCACTGTACTCCAGCCTGGGCAACACAGCGAGACTCTGTCTCAAAAATAATAATAATAATAATTGAAGTGCAAGTCCATCTACTTCTGGAAAATAGATTTTTTGACAAGAATAAAAGTATTTTTGATATGATTCACCAAAATATTAGTATCTGAACTCTTAGAAAAGTGGGCTCAACATGTGTGCCCTCAGGAAGCCTTGCTCAGGTGATTTCGCCATGCCCTCTTCTACACTTGAACAGAGGAGAACTCGCCAAGGTCTAACATAATTATTACACATTTACCCTTGTCCCACAATCCTGCTTCTAAGAACCTATTCCAACAATACACTAGCCAAAACAAAAACGATAATAATTGTAAGGTGCACACACAAAACTCCATAGCCCTCTCCATAAGAATACTGGAAACTACCTAAATGTCTGTGGTGGGGAACTGATTGAATAGTCCATGGTATAATTATACTGGTTACTGTCTTAGCTGTTCCCATGTTCTTAGCAGCATTGTTCACAAGCGCCAAAAGGAGTAAGCAACACAAATATCCATTGGTCGATGAATGGATAAACACAATGTGGTGTGTAGAGACACATACACACAGACACTGGAATATTAACCCTTAAAAAGAGGGAACTGTTATTTGCGATGGGGATGAATCTGGAGGATATTATACTAAGTGAAATCAGTCACCAAAAACACAAGACAATACCTACTTTGGGGTATATTTGTGAAGAATGAAAATGGAAGCTCATCTACCTAATAGTCTGGTAAGTGCTACATAAGCTTAAGGGTTTTACTACTTACGGTAAGTAGTTTTGAGTCTACTTCTGAAGCAACTGGTATAGGACTCCACCTAGTCAATGCAGGCAGCAGGTCGGCCGGTCCTGGGCAGTTGTGGTGCCGGCTGAGAGGCCAGTGTATGGGGAAGACCATCTCGCCATAGCCGTCTGCCTGTGGGAGCTTGTGAGGACTCAGGAACCTTCTGGGAGGGATGCGGGAGGGGGATTGCCACCCCTTTTCCTATCCTGGGACTTCCAGCCAAAGTGCGAGTCCCTTAGCAGAGCCAGGAAGAGTCCCAGATAAACATTCATCAAATCCGGCCAGCTCTTCTGCCACCAATAGGGTCTCCCCAAAGACCTCCCTCTGCAAACTGTCCCCAAAAGCCCCCTTGACATGACCTCTCAAGCATCCCCACTTGTGGGGAGTGAGCAGGGCACAGACAGGGCTCTCCCCAGCCTGGCTCCAGGCTTTGCTTCCTCCCTCCCAGGCCAGGACGCTTAAACCAGGTGCATTAGAATCACCTGCAGAACTTTAATACCTGCATCCAGGCCCCACCCTCAGGACCCTGACTTCATTGCTCAGGTGTGCAGCCTGAACCTCCAGAGCCATAAAAGCTCCCAGGTGATACTCATGAGCAGCCAGGGTGCTTGCTCTTCTAAGACCTCAGACTTAGGGCTTCCACTCTCTAGGCCTCTGGTCCCTCATTTGTAAAATGAGCATTTGGTCGTAAGTGTTCTGGAAGCCCGAGGTAATTTATAAGTTGATTGCATTCAGTAAATATTAACTACTGGATGTGGGGCCCTGGCTTAGGACTGGGGAAGATGCAAACATAAATAAGCTTTATTTGGCTGGGCGCAGTGGCTCATGCCTGTAATCCCAGCACTCTGGGATGCCGAGGCGGGTAGATCACTTGAGGTCAGGAGTTCGAGGCCAACATGGCGAAACCCCGTCTCTACTAAAAATACAAAAATTAGCCGGCATGGGGGCACGTGCCTGTAGTCTCAACTACTCGGGAGGCTGAGGCAGGAGAATCACTTGAACCCAGGAGGCAGAGGTTGCAGTGAGCCAAGATCACACCACTGCACCCCAGCCTGGGTGAAAGAGAAAGACTCTATCTCAAAAAATAAATAAGCTTTATTCTTTGCCCTATGCACACGTGTGTATATGTGCACACACACTCTTTTCCTTCTGAAAAAAAAAAAAAAAAACCACCACTGTTTATGAAGCATTAGCTTCCAGAATGTGAAGCCAACCAGACAGAACTGAAGAGGGCAAATAAACAAGAGAGGGCATCCTGTGCCAAGGCATAGCCTTGTATCTGGTACAAAAATTTGGGTGCAGGCAGGCCTGAAGGCTTCCCAGACATACCTGGTGAGCACAGGGCACTGACCCTGTTACCACCTTGTCCATTGCCCAGGGGCTAAGTAGGTGTTGTGGACAGTAGCTGACAGTGCAATCTCCAGAAACCATTATGAAATGACAAATGACCACAGCCTGCTCCCTGTTACCATTTATATCCACCTTGCTGACAATGGGAATTTTCTATCCCATGGGCTGGCTGGAGAAAGGGCCCTTCTCTTCAACTCTTCGTGCTGTAAGATTGAAACTCCATCTAAGAAATAACCCCTTATGCCCAGCACCTGCCAGGGAAGGGAGCAGCAGACTTGGTTCCCCAGGGCTGGTTCCTTTGGTGGCAGGGAGTGGGCCTAGGAAGGGGGTGGACTGCTCAGGGGGTGCGAGTGCACAGTGACAAATGTGAGGCTGCGCCTGCAGCCAGGCAACAGCAGGCATGGGCTTTGAGGAAGCATGAGATCATTCCGAGGAGGAGAAGGGTGCACAGAGCCAAGAAGATGTCCCCAGCCTGCCTCCTCTGGTGGAGATAACTTCACTCATCCTGAGGCTATGATGGCTGGAGAGCCAGCTGCCTTGAGGAGCCAGCCGGGGATTCTGCTCAGGAGAGCCACTGAGGATAAGTCAGCCATGGGTCCTTCTAGGGAAGTTGTGGGGGAAACAGTGGCTGGAGACAGGGTCAGCTTCATGGGTGTGCAACTGGTGCATCTGCATAGGGCCCTGCCCTCAAAAGGGGCCCATACTCTGCTGTCGCTGTCTTGAAGTTCTTAATAGTTTTTGAACAAAGGACCTCCCATTTTCTTTTTGCAGCAAGCCTTGCAAATTATGCAGCTGGTCCTTGCTGGTGGCTATAGTAGGCTGAGGAAAGTCTGATTTAGAATCATGGTCCTCAGCCCTGGCTGCTCATGGAAATCACCCAGGACACTTCAAAACTACAGGCAGCCGGCCTTCTCACCCAACCCCAGAATGAAGACAGGCACCCTCCCTGGTGATTCTCACGCACAGCCAGGCTGGAGAAAGTGGATTTCGAGGAATGATGCTCCCTTGCTCGTGGCCTGTAAGAAGCCCTGGCTGAGCTGTGGCACCCGCTCCTGAAGAGGCCTCACTATGCAGTCTGGCATCATGGAGCCCACTATGCTGTCCTAAAGGCCTCTCCCCTGTCTCCTGGAGACCACACAGACCTGAAGGTTGGGACTAGATCTTATTCATATTTGCACCAGTCACACAGCTGGTGCTCAAGAAACTTATTTTCCCTCTAACTTGTTTGAACTAAACAACAACATGACCTCCGCATTTTTATCATTGCCTCCTTAAATTGTGGGGCTAAAACACCCCATGACTCACTAGCACAAACTGCTCCTACTAGCCAGAGGAGTGTGGATGCTAAAGAAGGACTTCTCATCTCTGGCTGATATTCCTCTGCTACTCCTGAGCTCCAGCTACTACTTGAGAATTGCACTTCCACTACAGCTCCTTCAAAGGCTAATTGCCTTATCAGATATTTCAGTTGTCCTGTTGTTTCTCAGAAACTTTTAAAATAGTTTAATTTTGAAATATCTATTGTTTTCACGTGTGTGAAGTGCACTGTGTTTTGCCCGTGCATTCTGCTAAGTCCTTCTGTGTTTATTTTTGCAGAAGGCATTAGAGATGAGGAGCCTGCTGTTCTCGTGCAGCACATAACCCAGGTGGAAACAGATTACATTAGGGCCATGACAGGTGGTGGTAGGTCAAGGGGTGATGGAGACTTTCCGAGATTCCAGCAGTGCCAAAGGATTTGAAGGTAGTAGAGGGTAGGTCCTGTTTTATTATAAGTTGTTATGTCCCATTTGGTTAGAATACTCTAGAAAAGCAGAAAACCATTTCTAGAATATTCTAGAAAAACGTTTGAGTCCTGAGACCTCTTTACACACTTACAAATTATTGAGGCCTCTAAAGAACTTTATGTGGATTATATCCATCAATATTTACTGTAACAAATATTCATATTTGTATATTATGTATATTTATATTTGACTATGTTTATAGTCATAATATTCATGTATATTTATATATCTATGTTTATGAATATATGTGTATATATTTAAAATAAATGTATTATATGTTAAAGTAAATGATTAATTTTTATCAAAAATAACTATTTTCCAAAACAAAAATTTAGTGAGAAGTATGGCATTGTTTTACATTTTGCCCATCTCTTCAATGTCTGGGTTACTAGAGGCTGAATTCTCATACCTGTTCCACAGTCAACCTGCTGAATATCGCATGTCATGTAGCCTCTGGACAACTCCACTGTACACTTTTGAGAAAATGAGAGTAAAAAAGGCAAATAACATCTTAGTATTTCCCCAAACACTACCCAATCAGAGAGCAGAGAATACCGTTTTGACCTGATGGACCCCCTGAAAAGGTCTTGGGGTGTCCCCGGTGTAAGAACCACTTTCTGGATGTCTGTGTCTGGCATGTGATTTGGCAGCCGGGGCTCTGAAAGACAGGGAGGAGTCGGGGAGAGCCAGGCCTGGTGATCAGGAGACAGGGCTGTGGACCCAGCTCCCTCAACTCCACAGCTGTAACACGGAGCACGTCCCTTCCCATCTCTGATCTCTCTGCATCTTAGTTTCCTCATCTGTAAATTGATGACACTGAGCTACACCAAAGGATTTCACCCAAGCTAAATAACAGAACCACCTGGAGAGCTGTGGGAATGTCCAAAAGCCAGGCCTCGCTCCAGAACGATGGTATCAGGATATCGGAATGTGAAGCTGGGTGTATCTGAAAAACTCCTCATGTGGCACATCGAAAGGTCACAGGTGCCAACCTAAAGGCGTCCCCAGACATCAAAGCTGGAACAATTTGAGCAACAAAATAATGATAGAACGGATAACCCACAGGGTACAGGAAATATTCATAAGTTCATAGTAACAAAAAATTAAATATATAGTAAATGGGGAGAAGGAGACACTCTTCCTTACAGTAGCATTCCAATTAATAAATGTTGAAAAATGATGGAGATAGCAAGCCACCATTTGGCAAACACCACAGTAATAATTGTTGCAGACACAAATCATTGATGGATACTGAATTGAGTAAAAATATATGAGAAACGTGATACGTGCATAGCCTTGCAGTATCTCCCCAGGAGCTAGCATTAATTACAAAGGGAAAAATAAAACTTTACAGAGAAGAAGTCTAGCAAACACCATCTTAAGTGATCAAGGCCAACACCACCAGGCCTAAGAGATATTGATGTCAGGTACTCCCTGAGAAAGACACAACATTATTCTTGCAAAAAATACGTAATCTGATCCTGAGAAAACCTCAGACCACCTAAAGTGAGAGACATTTACAAATCAGCAGGCCAGCCCTCTTTGAAAGTGTCAAGGTCAAGAAAGACAAAGGCTGAGGAATTGTTGTCGATGGGGGAGACTAAAGAGACATGACAACTACCTGGAATGTGGGATCCTGAACTGGATCCTGGCGAAATGTGAATATGTTCTGTCGATAAGTTAATCATATTGTGTCAGCGTTAATTTCTCGGGCTTGGTAACTGTACTCTGGCTATGTAAGATGGCAGCATTTAGGGGAGCTGAGTGAAGTGTACACTCCTGCCTCAAGATTCTTTGCTCTGTGGTTCCTTCTGCTGGGGGCACTCTTTTCCCAGATATTCATGCGGTTTGTTTATTCATTCTCTTCCTGTCTTTACTCAGATATGCTGAGGCATGAGATGCCATCAATTTTTCCACCAAGGGAGAATGTCATTAAACCAAGCTCTGTGCTCCCCATTCACTTTTCAGAAGCATCCCACAAACTTCCCATTGAGAAGGAGAAGGAAAATATCAAGCAGGGGAGGGGCCGGGCTAGTGCTTCATGGTTCTTGGCCAGATGAAAAGAAGGTCAGGGGATATAAGCCATGAGAGGGGCTTGCAAATATCCAAATGGGGGTGGTGGTAGGCAGACAAAACGCAGCTTCTATCCACCATACCTCTGGCCCAGGGCCCAGGGCCAGAGTCACGCCTGGTCAGGGATGGCCAATAGCACCCTTCACCCTCAGCTCACCACTGGGAACCAGATGTTTCCAGGCTCTCCCTGATCAGAGGACAGGGCACACAGACCAATTTGTACCCCAAATTGTCCTGTTTGGGATGCACATCTGCTGTAATGATGGGAGGAGGTCAGACCCTGCCAAAGAATTTTACAGAAAACTAATGAAAATCGGCTGGGCATGGTGGTCCATGCCTGTAATCCCAGTACTTTGGGACGCCCAGGCAGGTGGATGGCTTGGGCCCAGGAGTTCGAGACCATTCTGGGCAATATAGCAAGACCCTGTCTCTTAAAAAAAAAAAAAAATCCATTATCCTTTTCCACCCATTCTTTGATTCAAATCTCATGGCATTCAGTGATGGAGAAAAGCTGGGCCAAGCATATTATGTCCCTTTCTCAGATGTGGAACTTAAGACTTGGTTAAGTTTTTTCCTAAAATCACATAGGTAGGACGCAATCCCAAGTCAGCTTTTCTGGGGAGCAGCTAAGTCTCTGTACTGTTGCATTTTATCCAAGACCAGTCATTGTGGCCCATGAGGCAGTGTTTGGGGTTCACTGACACTATACTTGGGCTATGGAGATGTGTGTTTGAATCTAGCTCAGCCACTTAGGAGCTGTGTAATCTTGGGCACGGCCCTTAATGTTTTCGGGGTTCATGTTGCCATGATATGGATAACGTATGAGAAAGCGACTTATAAACTGCACAGTATCATGCTTGTTACCTATTAGCATTTGTATAAGGGCAGCAATAAGGGTCACTATTCCACAGCTTGCTATGATGATCAAATGACCACAGTGCAAATAATAGCTGCATATATGGAGTCTTGCTCTACACCAGGCACTGTGCTTTGTACACATGTGAATCATCTTTTTGAGTCCTCCTTATAACTCTATGAGATAGTGTTTGAGTTTTTCTATTGCTGTGTAGGAAACCTCCAAAGCCCTAGTGACTTCATAACAAGAATCACTCATTATCTCACAGCTCTGTGGGTTGCCAAGGCATTTCTTCTGCCTCCTGTGGTGCTGGGTGAGCTCTGCTGTGGCCTCAGTCATGTGGCTGGCAGGCAGTGCTGGCCACTGGTTGGGAGCTCAGTGAGGATCTTGGCCAGGGTCCTTGACTCTCCTCCCCGCAGGCTTTTCCACACACCTGCTTGGGCTTTCTCATGGCGTGGTGGTTGAATTTTCTAAGAAGGAATATTCCAAAGGATGAGCTCCTATGTGCAAATGTTCGCCAAACCTCCGTTTGCATCACTTTTGGCCAAAGCTTGTCCCAGAGCCAGCGTGGTTCACTGGAGCTACCGAAGAACAGCCTTCTGCAGATAGGGACTACTGCTCTCCCCATTTTACAGGTGAGGAAACTGAGGCTTAGAAGGGGTAAGTGACTTGACCAAGGTCACAGAGTTACTAACTGGCAGAGTTCAAGCTGAGATGGAAAGATTTGGCAGATTTGGCTCCAGGGTCCGTGCTCTCACCCCTTCAAGTATGGAGTGGTGAGCTGCAAAGGCAATGCTCTCTGCAAAGCTCCAAAGGTTGCTGCATCCCCTTTCCCAGCCCACCCACCCCAGTAACCCCCCTCCCCACCCTGCCTCCTTGGCCAACTGTGAAGTGCTGCCGCTGAAACGGTCTTTCTCTCCCACCACACAGTGAGCTTAAGTCCCCTCCCCTCTCCTCCTCTTCAGCTTCCTCCCTATTTCTCCTTGCTCCCTAGAGCCATGAGGTTGTCCTCCCTGGGGCTGCCTCAAGATGTTCTCAGAGGCCCCTGGGAGCAGAGGTTCAAGTTCAGCCAAGAACAGCTATGGGGCAACCAGGGCATTCTGAGACTGGACTTTATCCCATGTGGGGTCTCAGCCTTTTGGGTCCCAGGTCCTTTCAGTGGCCCAGAGGAATCATGAGGCCACTGACTCCATCTAGGGACCCCTCTGGGCTGCTGTGAGTCCTGGGGCATCCCCTGATTTTGCAGCCTAGGCCCTGTGGCTACAGGGGCAGTGGGGGTACTGCCCTCCAGCAGGACAGCCAGCACCAGACCTGGCTGCACCTCCACCAAACTCCGCGAAAGACCTTGGCCAAGTTGCTTCCCCTGTCTAGAGCTCAAGTGCTCACTGCGTCATGATGGCGGGTGGGCTGGAGAAGCCTCCTAAGAACCTCTTCTAGACGTTGGGAAGATGAAGGAGGGGTTTGGTTAAAGCTAGCAGGAGAATGTGCAAAACTGGGTGGCTCCAAAGTGAGGTCTTTTGCTCAGCAGGAGGGGACAGCAAGATATCAAGATGGGCAGATACACTCTGATCAGCATCTCAGCTGTACTTGCTGACTCACTCAGCCAGCATCATTGAGTCTCCTCTGTGCCCCGCTGTGGCTGGAGGCCGTGAGGGTGGGCAGTTCTGCAGCAAAGCCACTGAGCTGAGAGTGGTCGGAGGGGAGGAGGGCACGACCACTTCACATAGGACCTTGCAGGCAGCTGTGAAAAATGTCCACTGCATATTGTATGTCTATTGGAGAGTTGCCACGAGTAATGACATGACCTGCTTTATGTTTTAAATACAGATCACTCCCATGCTGCATGAAGGGTGGGCTATAGAGGTTAGAGTAGAACGGAGGGATCAGCTCATGAATTCAGGATAGTTCCCTGGGCGAAGGCCGCTACTCACCATATAACAGGGAGCACCAGCATCTCACATTCCCTACTTCTCTGCCAAACCTGCTCTGGAATCTCTCCCTTGGATTCCTTGTTCTGTGGCCTGGTGACTTCACCCTCCTCCCATTCATCCCGCCAGCTGTCGGTAGTGTGTCAAAAACCTGCTGTGTGCAGACCCAGGCAAAGGCAAGCACTGGGCTCTCAGGCCCCAAACCCTGCCCTTGTGGCCACAGCTGGTCTCCATTCCACCCACTGTTTGCAGATACCCAGAGGATAACATGCTCCTATCTCTGAAATTCCAGGCAGCCTTGGAGAATTTCAGGGGGAGGAAGTGTCCCACATTTGCAAACTTCCCATTATGGAGCAAGACCTTCAAGGAGGCCATAGGGTAAGAAATAAAGGTGCCTTCCTTCCCCTCCTTTTCCTTGGGCCACTGAAGATAGAAAGTGAGGAAACGTCCCCTTGCCTTGGAGCCCCTATCTCAGGGTTCAATGCTCAGCTGACACCATATAATGAGCTCATCCTGGGTGCTGCTTCTCCCCTCGTGTACTCCTGACCACTTACCACCATGACTCAACTTCCAGGGACCAACAGCAGCTCTGTCCTGCCTGGTCAGCAAAGCACAAGCCTGAGTTTCCATTTTCAACAGAGATATAAGTTCATTCCTGAGTGTGAGTGGCACCTTCAACGTCTCCTAAGGCCTTGTCATCTGCACAAGCTCTGGGCGAGACCAGTTTGGACTCAACCCCAGTGTCATCATGGGCCCTTGCTTGAGCTTGGGCAGATCTCAAGGCTGCATAACCTTTCTGAGCTTCAGTTTCCTCAGCTGGAAAATGGAGAAAACACTGAGCTCAGGGCCACTGTACAAAACATAAAATAATGTAAATAAAACACATGATTCATGGTAGGTGATCAAAAAATATCACTGCTTGCCCTTACCTTTTGGTAATTGATGTGGGTTCTGGACTTACCATCTTACATTTCAGATAGGTTTCCTACAATTAAATTTTGGAGTGGATGTATTGTAGAGGTTAGTTTGAATAATACACATGCAGTGGTCTCATTCTGACCATGAGGTGGAATAATTGGTCCTTACAGAGTGGCCTGAAGTTGTTTTTCCAAACCAGCTCTCTTTGTCATCTCATCCAGAGGTCCCTGTGGAGGGACAGCAAAGGAAGCTACCCAGATTCTCTGGTCCAACTGGATGGGAAGACACAGACTAGTGGCAGATGAAGGACTTACCTATGTTTGTACATTGAAGAGATGCAGATCTAGGGCTAGAAATCAGGTTTTCTTTCTTTTCTCTTCCTTCCTTCCTTCCTCCCTTCCTCCCTTCTCCTCTTCCTCTCTTTCTTTCTTTCTTTCTCTCTTTTCTTCCTTTCTGATTGAGTCCACTCTATAGCCCAGGCTGGAGTACAGTGGTGTGATCTTGGCTCACTGAAACCTCCGCCTCCTGGGTTCAAGCCATTCTCCTGCCTCAGCTTCCCAAGTAGCTGGGATTACAGCTGCCCGCCACCATGCCCAGCTAATTTTTGTATTTTCAGTAGAAGACGGGATTTCACCATATTGGCCAGACTGGTCTCGAACTCCTGACCTCAAGTCACCTCTTGCCTTCACCTCCCAAAGTGCTGGGATTACAGGTGTGAGCCACTGTGCCCAGCCCAGAACTCAGGTTTTCTGATTCTTGGACAGCTTGGTCTCCTGGGCAGCCTTTATCTGGACTTAGAAGAGCAGAACTGATAGAGGCAGGTGAAGTGGGGCTGAGCTCCCTAGCCCAGCCTGATTCTCTGTGCCAGACCACCCAGATGATCCCCACAAGAGGAAGCTTGGCCCTGAAGTTCTGGCGGGTGACTTATTTCCTGTCCCCTTTATACCTCTCCAAAGAGTTCCAATTCATTCATTCAACAAGCATGTATGAGTTTCTTCTATAATAAGCAAAATAGTATGCATTTGTATTAGTCTGTTCTCATGCTGCTAAGAAAGACATACCCACCACTGGGTAATTTTAAAGGAGAGAGGTTTAATTGACTCACAGTTCAGCATGGCTAGGGAGGCCTCAGGAAACTTACAGTCCTGGCGGAAGGGGAAGCAAACACGTCCTTCACAAGGCAGCAGCAAGGAGAAGTGCAGAGCGAAGTGGGGGGAAGGCTCTTTATAAAACCATCAGATCTTGTGAGAACTCATTCACTATCACGAGAACAGCATGGAGGTAACTGCCCCCATGATTAAATTACCCCCTACTGGTCCCTCTCATGACATGTGGGGATTATGGAAACTACAATTCGAGATGAGATTTGGGTGGAGACACAGCCAAACCATATCAGCACTGAGTACTTAGAATATGCCAGACTATGCATATATTTCTTATTTAATCAATAGTCTGAGTTAGATTATTGTTAGTATTATTTCCCCTATTTTACTGAAGAGGAATAAAGACTCAGAGGGAAGTGATTTGCTAAAGTACACTATGTTGGATGGTGCTGTGTTAATTTGGTTAAGCTGGGGGCTATACTCCCAGAATTCTTTTCCCTGTATGGCTCCACGTTATAGGAGCCATATAGAATTGGCCAAACAGCAACTGGTAAGAGATTTGGAAGACAGAAGTGAAGCAGAGGCCATTACTCTCTGAAAATTGTCGTGGTTGCATATGGTGTGAAACAGATGCAAACGTGTCTGGCAGGTCCCAGCTTGTCCTCGCTCTTTTCTGCTTCCCATCTAGCTTGTCACCCTGACTTCTGGCGTTCCTGACTAATAAAGGCTCTAGACCCTCAACCAGAAGATTGACTGTGGACCGGCAGAGAAGGTAACTAGATGAAGGCATCAGTTTTCCATAGACCTCTCCATGAACTTCCCCTTTGTTGTCCCACCCCAGTGGCTGGAGAAATGCAAGGGTGCAAGTCATGTTTTTGGTATATATTGTGACATGGGAGCACCTCCAGAAGAAAATTTGGTTTTATAAAGACTCAAATATAAAGAGATTTTGGCATCTTGGTAGCCAAAGCTCCAGGGCCAACACTTTATACAGGCATGGTATCCCCATACCATAGGAAAAAAAACCCTCTGTGGAAGTCCAGCCCTCTGGACACTCAGTGTGGAAGTCTCCGGAACAGTAGGAAAATGGATTCCCCCAGGCCAAGACTGGAAGATGGAAGTCAGGCACACAAAGTGCTGACGAGGCTGGTGTGGAATCCCAAGAGTCACAGCCTAAGGCATATTCTGCAGCCCCCAGGTCAAGCAGATGGGTACCAGGGGCTCCAGGTTCCTCTACAGCACCCTGGGAAGGGACAAGTCACAGCAGCCATTGTCTCCTTAGAGCTAGAAGACTTCCAGGAACCAAGGGAAGAATCAATGCATCATTCCCTCAACTCAGGACTCAAGACCCAATTTAATCACTTTGAGCTCAGCATGGTGCAGAGTTTGCCACAAAGAAGTGGTTCAGCTATGTATTAAGGAGGCAGAATTCAAGACTTGAGCAAGTCAGTTAATCCTGCTGAGCTTCAGCTTCTTGACCTGCAAAATGGGGAAACGACACCCACTTCCCAGGGTGAATTATTGAAAAGGGTCAATGTGGGCATGGCTTGGAAGCCCTCTATGAATGGAAGGGCTGAGCAAAGTTCCTTCATAAGTAGAGGGTGTCAGGAGATAGGATAAAGAACTGGATGGGGAATCAGGACCCTTGCTGTCCAGTCTAGGCACTGGCTCTTGCCATCAGCATGACCTTGAGGCTCTGATCATTGGAGGGAGGCAGAGGTCAGCACTAAAGGGTGTCTAATCTCTCGCTGCTCTCCCAGGCCAGGTTCCCACACCCTAAATCTCACAAACCCCTCTTCTATCAAGGTGGAAGTCGATGAGACATGAGAAGACATGCTTGAGACATGATGAGATGTGAACTTTCATGTTTCCAGGAGTGGAAGGAGGGCTCCATTGTTGGGTTGAAGGAAAGACGAGGCTGGGGGATTTTCCTTCTCATGTAGCAAATACTTGGAACCCAGGAGCCCTTTGGTGTAGGGGCAACTGTGGGACTCCTGTGCTCCTGCAGATCTTCCTCTTTGTTATGTTTTGAGGTTGGCTTTTCCATCCCCCTCTCTTTCTTCTTTCTTTTCCCCAACCACTCTATCATACACTACATCTTTCATATGTGTCTCTTAGTGTTCTCTTCTTCCTCCTCTTTGTCTTTTTCCTCCATCATCATTATTAGCAAAAATGAGAGCTGATGGTAAAACTGGTGCCCAGGGAGGGCAAGTGACTCATCCAAGGCCACATAACAGCAACTCTTATTGAGCTCCTACTGTGTACCAGGCACCCTGTCCCTTGGGACTGTCATGCCACTCCTGGCTGGGAGAGTATTTATTCCTATCCTGAACATTCATAGACAGAACCGTGGAGGCAGGGTGAAGGGAGACTTCCAAAGGCCACCCAGGACACTGAGAGCAAATGCTCACAGAGAACTTCTAATCAGCACCTTATAAACTAGAGAAGTTAGGGATTTAGTGATGGAAAAGATAGGGGCAAGGGGTAAGTTGGATCAGTGGGCATGAACTCACTCCACAGTAGAGCCTGAAAAGGAAAGAGGGAGGGAAAATAAAAGGCTACTTTCCATGATCAATAATAAAATTGTAGAAGCCATTCTGCCATATGATCAATGAAGCTCAAACTCTGAATGCCCCTGGAAAGCAGGTGTTGGCTCTTTCAGAAAGGAATGGTTCATTTCATTTGAGGTCCCTACGTCATTTAACAGTCACCCCTTGGTATCATTCCAGAGAAATGTATTGTCCTGGTTCAACTAAATTTCCTTCCTAGACACTGAAAAGTGGCACCTGGCAAAGAATATGCAAACAGCAGGAAGGTGGGGAGGGATGTCCCTGACTCCCTAGGCTCGTGAAATGACCATGGGTGGCATGCTGGTCCTCCCTGAACCTCAGTCATACACAACTCTCCATGGGGAACAGACTCCATGTCACCCTGCTTTTCAGAGGGTACGGGGATCATACTGAAAAGCACTTGGTCTCCCTCAGATGTGAATGTTCCATGGGGTTAGTCATTCCAACTGAGTGCTTATGCAAAAGTATGCAGTTGATCACAGAAGCAGCTAATGGAGATCGATAACATTCTTAGCTTGAAATGAGAAGGCTGCATAGAGTACAGGCCTCATCTGACCTGACAGCTGTTGTGCTGGGTGTAGTTAGTTCAGGACATGAGGCTTCTCTTTAGGTAAAGCTTTTATTAGCAGCGTTGGGAAGTTGATCAAGTAAAAGCATGTGATGCTGCTTGAACCATGAAGCTGTTCCTCATTAAATGTGTGGCTTTGGGTCAGAGTAGCGCCTGATCTACTGACCTGCCCCCAAAAACTTTGGCATAAGGTGAGGGGTAGGGAATTGGAAGGAGAGCTGAATTTGCATAAACCTGCTAGGTCTTATGGGAACTTTAATTAAGGAGTCTTTGAAGCATTCATTAAACTCTTAAATGTCTGGATTGAGAATACCATCTCCACCTCCAGTAAAAGTCAGCCCTTCAACTCCTGGGCAAGCGGTACTCCAGAGATGACAAAGAACTCACCACAACTCTGGGAGAGGGGATGGTAGTTGAAGAATTGTGCCTCAGCTTGGTCAAGATAACAACTCCTAACTAGCCAGAAGAAACTGGGTAACTTCTTTATTGTGCAGCAAGGGACCTGACCTTCAGTAGAAGAACATTAGAGCTATCCAGCCTCAGTTAAAAAACAGCTAAGACTGTTCATAATATTACAAAGGCTGTAGCTATAGATAGTGAAAGGTTATTTGCTTGGAGGGAAAACCTTCTACTTCTTGGAACAGAAAGAGCTGGATCTGGCCTCAACCCTATGGTCAATATCCCAATCCCAGGGACCTGGTAGAGTTGGACTCCCAAAGAAGATGGTGCCGAGGGGATGAGCCTTCTCATCTGTCCATGATTGGGCTGTGACTCCATGCCAGCAACAAAACAGACTCTTGGCCCAAAAGTAAGAGATCTCCATTTCATCAGTCAGCTCTTTCACTGGCTGCCAAATGCTATCTCTGACTATTCAGGGAATCCCACAAAAGGAGTCTCACTTACTGCTAAAGACACAAAGCTAGTGGCGAGGTGTTTGAAAAGGCAGCTTTCCTGGACCTTTCTCATGGACTCAAGCTGCCCCTCCACCTTCCACCATCTCCACTGCTCCCATTCTGCACTCTGCTCGCCAACACCCCTCCCCAGTAGCTGCACAGGAGACTCCAAGCTCCTGTCTGCTGTCCCCATGGGTGTTCTTCTCACACTAACCAGTGCTCCCTCCCTTCCTAGCTCCTTTCTCATTAGCGTAGCACTTGCTTTATCTCTGCTAGCAGGTTTTAAGGGTCTTATGAACAGGACTCCTAACTTGCACTTTTTTCTCCTGCAGAGCTCAGTACCATGCACTGCACATAGTAGGAGCTTAAAAATAGCTTGTTGAATGAAAGATCTGAACAAAGACTTGGAACAAAAGCATCACCTAGCAGGGGCTGGTCCCTTAGTAAGTTGTGTCTGCCTCTTCCAGACAACTCCTTGGCCTATTAACACTACCACCAATAATCAGTGAGTTGATTGTTTGCATTTGTGTAGTGTTCCCCACTGCCCAGCAAACCCTCTCACTTGGTCCTTACAATAATCCTTCTCATCTAAATGTTAACCAAACACAGGGGTGAAAGCTCCTGTCCCCGCAGCAAGTTGACCAGGTGGGATGGCTCTGTGTCCTCCTGGATGACCAAATGGTCAAGGCCCATGTGGGTGTTCAGGAACGCAGGCCCAGCAGCTGCACACAGTGGTAGGAACCGTGAGACCAGGACTGTGTGCAATGAAACAAACAAAGCTTCCTCAGCTTGAGGGCTTTTCTGGTTCCCCATAGGGAGACTGTTAAAAGCTCAACTTCAAACTTTAGGGGACCTCTCAGCCCACATCTGGAGGCCATTTCACATCCAGCTCACATCTCCGGGAAAAGCAGCCTGCATTTCATCCTGCTCCAAGTCCTCCCTTTACTGGTCTGGCCTGCATTCCCTGCTCCTCAGGGTCAGAATGAGAAGCAGGCACATTGACTTGAGTGAACTCATTTGCTCTCCCGGTGCCTCTGCACCTGCTCCCTCCTGGGCTATGAATCCAGCCGTTTCCACAGCAAACAGTCATAAACAGCCGGAAGGGGACCAGGGCTTCAGGTGCAGGAGGAGGAATAGGGAGTAGCTGCAAACACTTTGGCAAGGCCCACTTTCACACAGATGGTTTTAGCCATAAACCGGGGGGAACTGCAAAGCAAGGAGTCGGCCAGGTTACTAACGACAAAGCCTGCAAAGTGCATTAGGCCGAGGCTCAGACAGTGACTCAGAACTTCCTCAGAGTGCTGGGCTCCACCTCACACAAGCTGGGGTGGGAGAGGGGCTGGAGGCTTCAGGGACGTTGGGTGTGCAGATCAGGAAGTTCAGGCGGACAAGACCCTACTTGTGCAAAGACATGGACACCCCAAATTCCCAAGTCCATGCTCTGTTGTGGCATCAGTCCCCTTTCCTAAATTCTACTTAGCAGCATTCCTGAAATGTCTCTAGTTCACCTACTGTGTGCAGGCTTTGTGACTAAGACACAATGTCTGCACTCTTGTTTCCAACCGTGTGGGTGATGGGTGCATGCACAGCTGATGATAAACAGGTCAGATTGTGTCTTGCACTGGGGCAGGGGTACAACATGCAGGGGAAGCACAAAGTGGAGCGGAATGGAGTCATTGGTCTCAGGCCTATGGGACAGGTCCTTGAAGGAGGTGGAAGTGAGGTGACCCTTCATAGGTGGGTAGGATTTGGATAGGCATGGAAGGGATAGCACAGTGCAGTACAGGGAACAGCATCTGCAAGGAAGGGGATGGAATGTGCCAGGCAAGCCATGTCCTGGGAATGGCAAAGAGCCTAGTGTCCTGGAGCGTGGCATGGTTTTGGCCATAAGCAGGGAGGATGGTGCTGGAAATGTACGTAAACCCAGACCAGGGAGGGCCCAAAATGGCAGGAATAAGGAAATTATTGAGAGTATTTTACATGTGAATTAGTTACCAACTTTTATAAATAAAGAGATTTCATAGACAAAGTTGGGTTCTTGCATCTTGTGAAAGTCTAAAAGGTCTGGCAATTTGGGGTCTCCATTCTCTTGCAGCTATACTTAGCTATAGCTGGGCGGTGGCTGCTCCTAAGCAGGACAAGCATCCTCCAATCTGCCCCAGTCCTCCCCATTCCCTGTGGTGGCCCTTTTATCAACTCAACCTGGCCTGCAACCCTTTGGTCATCTACCTGCCCTTCATGGAGTTTGTGGTCTCTACTGTAGACCCTGAGGAGATGCCAGCGATGCCAATGGATGGTGGGAAATTCCTGCCTCATTGTGTTTAGGAAAATATTTTGAGCACAGTGAGAAGTCTGTAGCTTGGAGTCAGTAAGGCCAGTGAGGTGTTCTTGAAAGAGTCCTTGTGGAAAACGAGATATCCAGAAGGCCAAAGCAGGGGAAGCAAGGAAAGGGCAGATTGGGAAGAAATTCAGAAGTGTGACTGGCTTTGATCATGGATTAGGTGAGGAGAGTGAAGAAGAGGGAGAAGGAGCTGAAGTGAACTCCAGGATTTCAAGATTAGGATTCAGAGCAGAAGGTAGAGTCATTCAAGGAGGTAGATGTGCGAGGCAGTGCTAGGCTCTGGAAGGGGATGGTTGGCCCTGCTCTGGCGTGTGCAGTTTGAGGTTCTGGGCAGAGACTGGAGACTCAGATTTGTGATTCTCTGCAGAGATGACATTCATGGGGACAGGTGTGGTCAGAAGGGCCCTGCTAAGGGAGGAGGTGGAAGGGAGCCATGGTTCCTCACTGCTCCACTGGCAAGCTCAGCTCCCACCCTGAGACATTCATCACAGCTTGTGTTGTGAGGATTCCTTTCTGGAGTTGTTTCCTCCCCAAATCTGTATGTAGAAATCCTAACATGGTATTCACTAATGTGAGGGTATGTAGAGGTGGGAGGTGATTAGGTCATAAGGTTGGGGTGGAGCCTTCATGAATGGAATTAGTCCTCTCATAAAGGAGACACCAGCGAAACCCCTCACCCCTTCAGCCATGTGAGGACACAGCGAGGAGATGGCCACCTCTGAGCCAGGAAGTGGTTCCTCAGCCAACACTGAATCTGCCTGGATCTTGGACTTCCCAGACTCCAAAACTGTAAGAAGTAAATGTGTGTCATTTAAGCCACCCAGTCTGTGGCGTTTTTGTTGTAGCAGCCCAAACAGGCTAAGACAATCTTCCTAAGCACATTCTTTACCTGAAAATATGTGTCCTTCAGGGGCACGGCGATGGCCACCACTGCTTCTCAGGCACAGACGGGCAGAGGGTGTGGGCCAGGCTGGGCCTGAGTCACACGGAATAATTTCGTCTCTTGCTCCTCTGAAGCATTCCTGGGGGATGGGGTGGGGTGGGGTGGGGCTGAGTCATTTGAGCCCCTCCAGCAGATGGTGGAGGGCAGTGAGTCACAGCTCTGGTTCTCAATCAGAAGCAGAGTAGAGGCCTGAAGAGAATGCATCTATGGCCAGGTCTGGGATGCCCAGCTTGCTGGTAACTGCCTCTTAAACAATGACAGTTGTGGCTGCCACTGTGGGAAGCTTCACTGTTGAGACTTTCACATGTGTTTCCTCACTGGATCTCAGTTTCTAATTATACCTTCCTTTGTGTGGATATTTAATGGTCGTATCCACACTAGACTGTGTGGGAGCAAGGACTGGCTCTAGTTTTGCTCATTGTCGGATCTTTGGCATTGAATCCATTTAAAATGGAAGACTGAATGAACACATTAATGAATGGCTCCATTTGGTGTTAAATTTTAATATAATGTATGTGTATGTGTAACCTATTTATAAACATTTACATGCTATTTCATACATGGAATAACTTTGGAAAAATAAGAATATACCAGACATGAAAATTGAGCTTGACTCCTAGAAACAGAGGCTGGGGATTCCTGGGTGATAGGAAAATATATTTTCACTTCATGTGTTCCTGTCTCTCCCCCATCATCCTGCTTTTACAATGAGCAAAAAAAGTTTACAGAGTAGATTATACTAATCGCATTGTTCCACAACTCTCTCTTCCACTGAACCCAATATGGGGGGTATCTTTTGTGTCTGTCAGCCTGGCCTTGATTTTGCATCCTTATGGGCTGCTGATCCACATTCCAGCTCTCTTCAAGCCCACTCTCTGTTGGGTGGACTCCACACTTGGGTTTGGGGATGCTGGTTTGCCCCTCACCTCTTGGGTGCTGTATCAATTTCTTGAGGAGGCATGGCCTGCATTACAGCTGGCTGGGATCTGGCTATTCGAAGTGGACGAGGTGGGAAAGTGGCAGAAGTGAGTGCTGTCCTGAGGACCCCAGACAGATGAAAGATGCAGTCCAGGCTGAGTAAGGGGAGAAGTCAGAGTCCAGTAGAGCCAGAAAGCTGTGGGGTGGTGTGCACTGTGTGCTGGATGATCCTGATGGGCAGGCTGGGGCTTCCAAAAAGAGGGAGGACTCTGTCTAGCTAGGCCTCTTGGTCCCTGATGCCAATGATGGATGGTTTTTTTCACAAGCTCTACAAATCCAGAGCCAGTCTTTTCTGCCAGTTTCCCCTCCTGCAGACCTTAGACAGGATCCAGATCTCCCAGCCGTTGTCCAAGGAAGCTGCAGGCAGGAGACAGTGGACGTGCTTGAGAAACTTTAACTTGGGAGTCACAAGACTGGGATACAGTCTTGGCTCTACTAGTTACTCATGCAACCCCTCTGAGCCCTGTTAAATTGAACTAAATTTGGCCTGAGGCTGCCTTCCTACTTTGAGTTCATACATAGCAAACTGCAACTTAACTTTGTATGTAAACAAACTGCAACTTCACTAAGAGTATATTCCTGTAACAAATAGCTGAGTTTCAGCCAGTTAGAGCAGCTGAGCTTCAGCCAATCACAGGCTACCAACTGATCAGATCATGTCCTTATAAGGCAAATGCCCAGCTGTAATCAGTCAAGCGTTCTGTGTGTCACTTCCTTTTTCTATCTGTAAATACTGCCTGCTCACGTTGCCAAGTGTAGCTCTCTGAACCTCTCCTGGTTCTGAGGACTGCCTAATTCATGAATCATTATTTGTTCAAATACACTGCTCAATTTAATTTATCTAATTTTTTTCTCTTACCAGCCCAAATTGACTTCCATTATATCAGGTTTTAGGATATATTCACTTAATAGCATGCAAAGTGGTTTCATATGATTATTTTAATTTTCCTTTCTATGTTTACTCCGCCTGTTTCTTTGTTATTTGTATCTTCTTTTTCATTTCTCAATTTACTCTTTTCAAAGGACCAGCTTTTGGATTTATGTATTGGTACTATGTTTCTCTGTTATCAAATTAATTACTTTGTTTTTATATTTTCCTTCCTGCTGTTTTTCTCTTTCTGAACTGAATCTTATTCACCTGTTTTATTATTTTTTTTTTTTACTGATTTTTCCTCTGAGCACTGCTTTATTTATATCCTCATTGGATTTAACGTGTGTACTTTATTATTTTAATACACACACTTAATTCTATTTGTTTCTATTTTCCCCTTTACCCTAAGAGTAAGGAGTTTATTAATTTAGAAAGGAGTTTATTAATTTTCAGATGAAAAGAATGTTTTTATTATATTGTTATTCATTTTTAATTTTATTACATTTATTGTGACTAGACTATTTATTGAGGTTCTCTTTGTGGCTTAATGTAAGGTTTTCATGAGTGTTTATCTTCACTTGGCATTGAAAAGGTGTGTTCTCTATTATTAGGATACAGTACTTGCCCTGTGATCTTACTAAGGTTGACTATAACTTGACCTATTTCTTTTTGTTTGTTTTCTTGATCTGCCCTAGACTGAGACATAAATTTAAATCTCTTATTATGTGTGTTTATCAATTTCTCCCGATTTTTTCCATAATTCTTACTATATAAAATTTGCTACTGTGTTGACTGCCATGTTCATAATTCTTACATCTGAGTTGTAAATTACAACCCTTGGCATTATAAAGTGTCTTTGTCTTGTATAGTGATTTCTGAACCCTCCCTTTCCTTACATTAACTTCATGAATCTTGATTTTTTTCATCTTGGCATTTACCTAGTGTGACATTGCCCATTCTTTTATTTTCAGCCTTCCTGAATCATTTGGTTTTAGGTATGCCTTTTGCATGGTGCACAGAGTTTGGTTTTGCTCTATGAGTCTATCTGAAATCTTCTTAAGAGGTGAATTTAGCACATTTACATTTATAGATATGACAAATACATTTGTTTAGGGTTTTGTCATATAATTTTTTTTTTTTGAGACAGGGTCTCACTGTTGCCCAGGCTGGAGTGCAGTGGCCCAATCTCAGCTCACTACAGCTTCTGCCTCCCAAATTCAAGCAATTCTCCTGCTTCAGCCTCCCAAGTAGCTGGGATTACAGGTGTGCCCCACCATGCCTAGCTAATTTTTTTTTTTTTTTTTTTTTTTTTTTTTTTTTTTTAGTAGAGACAGGGTTTCACCATGCTGGCCAGGCTGGTCTTGAACTCCTGGTCTCAAGTAACCTGCCTGCCTCAGCTTCCCAAAGTGCTGAGATTACAGGTGTGAGCCACCATGCTTAGCCTTGTCATATAATTTTATATCATGTTTCTTGTTTTTACTTTTAATTTTTACTTATCTTTTAGTTTTTTACCCTGTGGCTTTTATTCTTTTATTTATTCTTTTATTCTTTTTTCCCTTTGTCCTTTTTTTTGTGTGTGTGGTTCTTCTCATGTTAAGAAGGTGAATTGTTGTTGTTTTTCTAGTATTTACCTTTAAGATTAAAGCTTTATGTATGGCCTTAGCTTTCCTTAGGCAGAATATATTAGTTCTTTTCTATAAACAAGAATAAAACTAGCATGCTTCCTTTTCCCTTTCCTCTACCATGCTCTCCTGGTTAATGAAATTATCTTTTTGCATTTATCTTCACCAGGTTAAATATGCACATACTTCTATTGCCTAACCAGTTTTTTTAATTATCACATGTTACAGAGAAGGCAATTAGCAAAACTTACTTTGTTTCCAATATTTTTTACCCCTCTTCTTCACTTAAAATAATTGTATTAACTATATATTGTCAGAACAGATTTTTATATTTTGACTTGTGACTCACATCTCCATTGTTCCTTTCGTTTTTATAGTCCTGCTCTCGAGTTCACAATAAACAGCTTCAAATAATATTATACCATTAAACATGTAGTTTAAGAAGCTCAGCACAGTGTAATCCCATTTCCTCCCTCCCATTCTTTATGCTATTTTTGTCATATATTTTACCTGTTGTAAAGAGACTTTTAAAAGGAACAAAACGTCTTTTCTATTTATCCCCATTTTTACCAGTTCTAGCAATCTTCATTTTTTGTGGAGATCTAAGTTTCCATTTGATATATTCCTTCTGTCTGCAAAAGTTCCTTTACAAGTTTTTATAGTGAAGACCTGCGGGTAATGAATTCTCTCAGGTTTCTTTGCCTGAAAAAGTATTTATTTTGCCTTTGTTTTAAAAAGATATTTTTGCTGGCTATAAAATTATGAACTGACAGGTTTTTGGTTTCCTGCCCCTGCCCTCCCCAGCACTTTAAAGATGTTTTTCTAGCTCTGGTTTGCAGAGATTAAAAATCTGCTATAATTCTAATCTTTTCTCCTGTTTGCATGATTACCCTCCTCTTTGGTTGTTTTCAAGGTTTTATCTTTATCTTTGGGTTTCAGTGGTTTGACCATGATGAGCTTAAGTTTTGTTTTGTTTTTATTTATTCTTGTTGGGGTTTGCTAAGATTCATGGAATTATGGTTTGTTGCTTTGAATTAATTTTGGAAAGTTCTTAGACATTGTATATTCAAATAGTTCTCTTTTCACTCTTTTTTTCTTTTTTTTCTTTTTCTTTTTCTTTTTCTTTTGAAGCCGGATTCTCACTCTGTTGCCCAGGCTGGAGTGTAGTGGCACGATCTCAGTGCACTGCAACCTCTGCCTGCCTGGTTCAAGCAATTCTTCTGCCTCAGCCTCCTGAGTAGCTGGGATTACAGGTACCCACCACCACACTCAGCTAATTTTTGTAGTTTTAGCAGAGACAGAGTTTAACCATGTTGGTCAGGCTGAACTCGAACTCCTGACTTCAGGTGATTCACCTGCCTCGGCCTCCCAAAGTGCTGGGATTACAGGCATGAGCCACTGCGCCTGGCCCTGGCTCTCTTTTTCTTCTGGGATCCCAGTGTTAGATCATTGATATGGATATTGTCCACAGCTTTTGGATGCTCTTCTCAATTGTTATTTTATTGTTTCCATTTTTGCCTCTTTGTGTTTCAATTTGGATAGTTTCCATTGATTGACCTATCTTTAAGTTCACTGTTTCTTTCCTCTGTTACATACAGTCTGCTTAAAAGCCATCAAAGAAATTCTGTATCTTTTTTTTTATTTTTGGCATTTCTATTTGATTCTCTTTTATAATTCTACCTCTGCTGAAATTCTCCATTTGTTCACATACGTTGTCCACCTTTTCCACTAGACCCCTTTCCACCAACTAATCATAATTATTTTAAAGCCCCTGATAGTTCCAGCATCCGTGCTGTCTCTGGGTCTGGTTCTGTGAGTTGTTTTATCTCTTTACAATAGGTTGTTTATTTTCTGGCTTTTTTGTGTGTCTCGTAAATGTGTGTATGAGCGTGTCTTTGTAGTTTTAAAAACTGTGTTCCAAACACTGTGTGTGAATAACAGTAAAGATTGAGGTAACTTGTGTTTATGCCAGGAAGTAGGTATCCCTCTGCATCTGCCAGGCTGTTAGTGTGGGGGGTCGAGTCAATTAAAATCAGTAGCTGTGCTGGGTTTTAGTTTTGTAGTTGTAATAACTTACTTCAGGGCAACACATACTTCAAATTCCTCCAGTGGTGGGTTGCTGCTGTCTTGTATCAGTGTTTCTACTTCCTGCTCAGCTTTCAGGGGGACTTGCATGCCTCCACCACAGAGGGGAGCTCTCTATGTTTTTCTGTTATTGCTCATTACTCAGCACAAGGCTCATACTGGGGGCAGGTGGGGTTCTCCATTTTTCTCATTTACTCTTAGTCTTAGGCAGGCTCCGTGCACCTGGCCCTCATTATTCTTGCTTCTCCCTTTTGTGGCATCTATACCTTGCCTCATGCCTGTGGGGCATCTTAGACAGGGGAGAGCTGCCTGCCTCACTATGGTCCCAACTCCAGTGATATCAGACCTGTGCTTTTTATCAGTGCAGAATCCTGGGACTGAGTGGGTTTCTTGCCACTCACCAGTAGCAGACAAGGAGCAGAAGAGTTTCCAACCCCTCCTCCCATGTCAAATGGCCTTTCCTTTTACCTTCAGCCAGGGAAAGTGATTTTTGCCTGGGCCCTTGATTTCCTGTCCTTCCAGTATCTTAAGGCTTTTTCCTTGTAAAAGAGAAGGGTCTGGGAAGTGGCTGGAGTTTTGTGCCTGTCCTCCAGTGGGAGTGAATTACCCAAGTTTTAAACCTATTGCCATTAAGAAAGGTCATCTTCTTCCCCTATTCTGTTTCAAAAGTACTTGACCGAAGGTCATGGTAAAGAGTTGTGAGTGAGGGCTTCAAGACAGTAACGGAAATTATCCAAAATTAAATAGACAGAGAATAAGGTCTCTACTTTTCAGTGGTACTGGAACAATGGATATGCATTTGCACACAACAAACAAATAAACTTTAATTCATGTATGTCATTATATCTAAAAATTAACTCAAAATGGATCATATACCTAAATGTAATACTTAAAACTATAAAACCTCTAGAAGAAAACATTGGAGAAAATATTTGTAAATTTGAGTTAGGCAAAGACTTTAAAAAATATGACACCAAAAGCACAACCCATGAAAGAAAGAATTAACACACCTGACTTCATCAAAATTAAAAACCTCTGCATTTAAAAAGATACTGTGAAAAGGATGAAAAGAAAAGCCACAGGTTGGAGGAAAGTATCTGCAAAGCAAAGATTTGATAAAGGACTTGTATGCAGAATATATACAACTCTCAAAACTCAATAATAAAACTAAAAACCTAATTTAAAATGGGCAAAAATCTTGAACACACACTTTACCAAAGAAGATAGATAGATGGCAAATAAACACGTGAAAAGATGCTTGGCCGGGCGTGATGGCTCATGCCTGTAATCCTAGCACTTTGGGAGGCCGAGGCAGGTGGATCACGAGGTCAGGAGGTCCAGACCATCCTGGCTAACACAGTGAAACCCCATCTCTACTAAAAATACAAAAAATTAGCGGGGCGTGGTAATGGACGCCTGTAGTCCCAGCTGCTCCGGAGGCTGAGGCAGGAGAATGGCGTGAACCCGGGAGGCGGAGCTTGCAGTGAGCCGAGATTGCACCACTGCACTCCAGCCTCAAAAAAAAAAAAAGAAAAAAAAGAAAAGGAAAGGAAAGATGCTCAACATCATCAGTAGTTAGGTAAATGCAAATTAAAATCACTATTTTATAAATGCAAAGTAAAGTCATTGCAGTGAAATTAAAATCATTGCAGTGAAATACCATTACACATCTATTAGAAAAGAGAAAATTAAAAAGACTGACCCTACCAAGTTTTAGTAAAAATGTGGAAGAAAGTAGAACTCTTATACACAGCTTATGGGAATATGAAATAGTATAACCACTTTGGGAAACAGCTTGACAATTTCTTCAGATGTTAAGCATATCTCTTATGTGACTTTGCCATTGCACTCCCAAGTATTTACCAAGAGAAATGAAAACATATGTCTGTAACAAAGACTTGTACACAAATGTGCATAACAGTTTTATCTGTAATAAATGCCCATTAACAAGTGAGCGGATACACACATTAAAGAATATCTACATAATAGAACACTGCTCAGCAATAAAAACGAATGAACATGGCCAACCACAAAGTAATTATGCTGAATGTAAGAAGCTAAACAATATCGAGTACATATTTCATAATTACATATATCTGAAATTCTAGAAAATACCAGCTAATCTATAGTGATAGAAAACAGATCAGTGTTTGCTCAGGGATGGAGCCTGGGGAGGGAAGGAAGGAGAAATCACAATAGGGAATAGGAAAGCCTCAGGAGAATGATAGATATGTTCATTATCTTGGTTGTGCTGATGGCTCCATGGGTTTATACATATGTCAAAACTTATCAAATTGTATACTTTAAATCTGTGCAGTTTATTGTATGTCAATCATATCTCAATAAACTTTGAAAAAACAAAACTAAGTTAAATTAAAAAGCAATATATAGAGAAACCAACATGCCTTTGCTAGAAATGAATCTGAATTTATTAATCATCTCAATAAATGTAAATGGACTAAACTTTCTAGTTTAAATAGAAATTGTTGGACTGTTTGAAACAAGGAAACAACAGTCTGTTATATTTTGTTGACAAGAGACATATAAAAAACTTAAGGACTCCAAAAAACATACTAAAAAGCCCAAGAACTCCAAAGGGTAAAAGGATGGAAAAATATATACCAATGAAACGCTAACAAAAAGAAATCTTATCTAGCTATAGCACTACAAGAAAAGATAGACATAGCCTAAGTGCACGTAAAAGAGGAATTGAGAAATCTGAATTCACAGCGAGTTCCTTTAGCACTTCAGCATATCTCATCATTGTTAAATCATTAAACTCCTGTAAGGATATTGGGGAATGAACAGCACCAGTAACAAACTTGATTTAAACAGATGCATGAAGAATTTCGTATTCACCAATTAGAAAATACACATTTTTTCTCAAATTCCCTTATAACAAATTATAGCATTCTCCATTTGTCTGTCTGTCTGTCTATCTATCTGTCCCATCCATCCATCCATTCATATATCCATTTATCTATACGGAAAATTTACAAAAATTATCTATGAATGAGGCAAACAAGTCTCAACCACTTTCTTAAGATCAGTATCATACCAACCATATTCTCTGGCCACAACAAAATTAAATTAGAAATCAGTGATAAAAAATAACACAAATCTCCTCACACATTTTTAAATTAACACACACACACACACACACACACCTCTAGTAAGTCATGGATTAAAAAATTATAATGGAAAGTACAAAATTCTTAGAACTGAACTAAGTAAAAATATTATGGTTAAAAAAAGGTGTGGAATCCAGCTAAGGTGGAAATGACAGAGATATGTAGTATTGATATTAACAAGTTAGGAAGACAAAAAATTAATATGCTAATATCCAACCTAAGAACAAGAAAAGGAACCACAGTGTAAATCCAAATAGAGAGTACAGGGAAGGAAACTATGGCATTAAGAGCAGAAATGAATACAATGAAATTAAAATGTACATTAGAGAAAATCAGTCAAGCCCACAGCTGGTTATCTGAACAGATGAATAAGGTGGAAAAGTCTCCAGTAAGACTTATCAAGGAAAAAAAAGGAGGAGGCATGAATAAACAATATTAAAAAAACACAAAAATGTAGAGTTTCTTAAAACACAAGATAAGTATGGACAATTTTATGGGAATAAATTTAACTTTTAGGCAAAATAGACATCTTGGAGAAAATATTAAAAATATTATTCAAGGAGAAATATAAAATCTGAATATACATTTAAATAAATTAAATAATTACCTAATAAAAGTAAGAAGAAACTCTCACCAGATGGCTTAATAGGCTAGTCATTCTCTCTCCTTTCCCCTATAAAATTTCAGGACTAGATATACACTTTTAAAAATATAAACTGTCCTAGAGATGAGAAACAGATGAGATTAGCTCCTTAAATTAACTCATTTAATAAAGTTAGCAAAACCATCCTGAAAACAAGAAAACATAAAATTATAGTTAAACATCACTTACGAACCTGAGTGCAAAAATCTTAAACAAATTATGATATAAAGAAACTAATTAATGTATAAAAGAAATTCTTCATCACCAAGGTTAGCCCAGGATTGTAAAGATGAGTTAACATTAGATTATCTATTCATTCACTACATGAATGGATGAAAGAGAAAATGTATGTATTACCTCAATAGATGCCGTAAAAGCACTTGCTATGATTCAATATCCATTCCTAATAAAAATGATTGGGTACCTATGAGTAGAAAGAAATTCCTTTAACTCAACAGATAGCATCCATCCCTAATCCTAGACAACTTCATACTTAATGGTGAAACATGAGAAAGATTACTGTTATACTGGGAGAAGAGAGAAAGGCAGGTCCTGGCCAAAGGATGGAGATGAGAAAAAGAAATGCAAGTATATTAAAAGAGAATAGGAAGAAACAAAGTTATCGTTTTCACAGATAACACGACTCTGTACACAGACTCTGAGGATAGAAATTATTAGACACTTCAGCATGTTTTCTTAATATAAAAATATACAAATGTACACAAAATACATATATATATTTTGTTTGTTTGTTTGTTTGTTGGAGATAGAGTCTCGCTCTGTCACCCAGGCTGGAGTGCAGTGAGGCAATCTCGGCTCACTGCAAGCTCCGCCTCCCGGGTTCACGCCATTCTCCTGCCTCAGCCTCCGGAGTAGTTGGGACTACAGGCGCCCACCACCACGTCCGGCTATTTTTTTGTATTTTTAGTAGAGACGGGGTTTCACCGTGTTAGCCAGGATAGTCTTGATCTCCTGACCTCGTGATCCACCTGCCTCGCCCTCCCAAAGTGGTGGGATTACAGGCGTGAGCCACCGCCCCCAGCCACTTATATGTATTTTTTAAATTCACTGACAACATTGAGTAGAAAAGATAATTTTTTTTTTTTTGAGACAGAGTCTTACTCTGTTGCCCAGGGGGACTGCAGTGGCACAATCTTGGCTCACTGCAACCTCCACCTCCCGTGATCAAGTGATTCTCCTGCCTCAGCCTCCTGAGTAGCTGGAACTACAGGTTTGCACCACCATGTCTGGCTAGTTTTTGTATTTTTAGTAGAGACGGGGGTTTCACCATGTTGGCCAGACTGGTCTTGAACTCCTGACCTCAAGTGATCTGCCTGCCTCAGCCTCCCAAAGTGCTGCGATTACAGGCATGAGCTACTGCGCCTGGCCAGAAAAGATAATTTTTAAGTTAAAACTCTACCCAAATAGTGTATTACTTAGAGAGCCAAGTGCCGTATCAGACTTCAGTCCTCTGTGTAATACATAGAAGTTTCAAAGTGGGTGTTCCTGGTTGTTGGTGATTCAGAGACTTAGGTTCCTCTCCCTCTCTTGGCTGCCCTCTAACACTTTGAAGTCCTCTGCAACCATATGGCCATGGGAGGGACCAGAGGGCAGGACCCATTTGCTTTTCTGATCACATTCCTCAGGGACCACTAATGCCATGGCCACACTTGGATACCAGGAGGGATGAGGTATTCAGCCTCTGGCTGTGCAGTTGCCTCCAGCAGCAACTTCACATAATCCAAGAGGGGTATAGAGTTGTGGTGGACAGCTATCCATTCTCTTACAAATGGCATAAAAAATTAAAAAAAAAGTTTTTACCTAGAAATAAATCTAGTAGAAGTTGTGCAAGATTTTTATGAAAAAAAAAATGTTATTGTAAGGTACCAAAGAAGACATGATAAGTGGGGAGATACATCATGCTCACAGGTGGAAGAAGTACATATATAACAATGTTAATTATCTCCTAATTAGTCTATGTTTTCAATGCAATCCTAACAAAAATCTAATTGTTTTTTATGGAACCTGAAAGTCAATTGTAGAATCTAATTGGATGAACAAAGGACCAAAAATTTCAAAGGTGTTTGGAAGAGGAATGGGTGAACTCTTCCGACCAGATATAAAGACATATAGTAAATTACAGCAGTGTGGTATTGGCACACGGATAGATCAATAGTCAAATGGAAACTAAACATATTTCAGAAATGTCACTAAAAGTCAATGGCAAATGATGGTAATATTTGGTTATCTCAATGAAAAAATAATAATGTTTATTTACTGAGGCATGAAGAAATAATTTCCAGATGGATTAGAGATTCAAATGGGAAAAGCAGAGCTTAAAAATGTGTCATAAGATAATTTTATATCAAATTGAGCCAGCAAATAATTTATTTTATTTTCCTTTTTGAGACAGGGTCTTGCTCTGTTGCCCAGGCTGGAGTGCAATGGTGCAATCACAAATCACTGCAGCCTTGACCTCCCGAGGCTCAAGCAATCCTCCTACCTCAGCCTCAAGAGTACCTGAGTCCACAAGTGTGTGCCATGGTTGGCTAATTTTTAAAAAATGTTTTGTAGATATGGGGGTCTCCCTATGTTGCCCAGGCTGGTCTCAAACTCCTGAGCTCAGGTGATCCTCCTGCCTCAGTCTCCCAGAGTGCTAGAATTACAGGCATCTGCAGGAAATAATCTTTTAAAAGAGACACAGAGGTTATAAACTTTAGAAAAAGGTTGAGAATTGACTACATTAAAATAAAACATTTCTATTGCTCACAAAACATCAAAATCAAAGCAAAACACAAGCCACATGTTGGGAGACAATATTTACAATCCATAAAACTAAAAAAGAATTCATATGCAGAATATGTAAAGAATGCCTAGAAATAAATAACTCCCTAAATGAACAAAAGATATGAACAGAAGAGGAAGCACATCCTCTTTGTGTCTGGACAAATGCAAATTAAGACCATAATGAGATATTCTTTTCACATGATTAGATTAGTAAAAATTCTGAATGCTGACAATACCAAGTGGAATGAAGACATGGAGTAAAGAGAACTTGAAAATACTGATGGTGGAAGCATAAATTGATACCACATTTTTGGAGAGTAATTTGGCAACAGTTTATAAAGTTGGAGCAGTCTATATTCCCTGACCCAGTAATTCCACCTGTAAGTATATATCTCCAAGAAACTTTACCCATGGGCACAAGGAGACATGAACAAGAATGTTTCTAGCAGTTTTATAGCAAAAAGTTGAAAGCAACCTAAATATTTATCACTTAGGAAAATGAATAAATAAACTGTAATATATTCACTTACAGTAGTGGTGTCTTAAAAACATAATGCTGAGTGAAAGAAACAAGTGACAAAAGGATTTATATAGAATTTAAAATGTGAACGCTGTACCTTTTTTATAGCTGCACCCCCACCCAATCAGGCTACAAATAAGGTTGGCAAACTTTTTTGGTAAACATCTGATAGAAAATATTTCAAGTGCTGCAGACCACATACTGTCTCTGTCATCTCTGTCTCTGTCTCTCCCTGGTGTCCCTGGCTTCATTTGGTTCTGGCCAGTGCTGGTGGTGCTGATGAGGTGGTCTTCTCTGCATAGATGGTGCACAAGGTTTTCTGGGGCTCGTGGTCAGCTCCCCACGGTCCACTCTGTAGCTGAGTCCCACACTCCTCCAGAGGGCAGCTGTGTCTACCTTTAGCCCTGACAGCAAATGAGCACCCACAAATCCCTCCCTGGGTTGGGAGTGCCGTTACTTGCCCCAGTGGCCTATGCGGCACCTGCTCTGTGCTAACCCCAGGATCCCTTTCCATAGAACCCAGGGACCCTTTACATAGACCCCAGGGACCTTCTAGGGTGTTCATCTGGACTCTCTGAGAGCTAGAAGAATGGGTACTGGGTGGGATTGCCCAGTGTTCCTCTCAGAAACACCATCCGTCTCTGTTGTTCTGAGCCCTGCTGGCCAAGGCCACATCAACCAGGCCTTTGCCTTTGGAAATCTCTAGACCAGAGGTAGGCACTGATCTCGGGGTCCAAGTGAACCCCAAAATGTCAAGGGAGCCAGCCATGGGTCCTCTTCTTCCCCACAGTGGGGGAGGCCCTGTGTCAGACACATATTCCCAGAATGCGCCCGAGGCTCTTACCACAGCTCCACAGCTGGCTTTGGGTCTGCGGCTCGCTGAACACCAGCGCAGCCTGGGAACCAGCCACTGGCCTCCCTTGCTGCAGACACCCCAGGAACAAGGGAATCTCAGACCTCACGGGGCCACAGGGGGGTAGCCTCTCACCACAACCCCCGCCCTCCCTAGGAGGCCTTGCCTCTTCTAACTAACACTGCCAGTGGGAAGGCAGGCAGAGCACTTGGCATTTGCTGGGAGACAGATCTCTCCCTGGGTCTGTAGGTGGGAGCTGGCACCACTGCAGGTGGATTTCTGAACTCAGGATTGCTGGGTCTTCAGTGCTTTTCACTGTCAGCTTTGGCCACTGGCTGCAATTCTGAGACACAAGGAAAAATCCCACTTGGCTTCCTGTTCCAACATCCAGTCCATCATCAGCTCATTCTTGTGTGCCTGACTTGAACTTCCTGAGCCGTTCTCTTCAGTGAGGACAGTAGGGTCAGCGGACTGCAGTGCGAAGGTCACCCCAGGCTTCAAATCCTCCCCCTGCCATCTACTTAAATGATAGATGATACTCCTCCCCTCACAGCTCAGTGTGCAGATGAAATGAATTAATATCTGAAAAAGATTCAAACAATGCCCAGTGCACAGTACATGATTTCTAAGTGTTTGCTCTTCTTATCATTATATTGAATAAGAACTCAGAGGAGCCTCAGTTCCTTGCCTGTTAAATGAGATTCTCGTGCTCACAGGAGGAATTTGGGGAAGAACAGAGATGGCCTATAATCAACATGAGACACAGTGCCTGGTACATAGTGAGCACTCAGTAAAGTCAGTTCCCTTCCATTGCCCTCCACCACTTTCACATCAGAGGCCACGCCTTACAGAGACAGCGGGTGCCTTGGATGAGCAGGAGCCACCATCCTCGGAAGGAACTGTGCTAGGCAGGCCAGAGCAAGGGGTAGAGGAAAAGGAGTAGGAACCATCTGTGCTTGCCTGGAACCGACAGGAGACAGAGCATCCTTGCTCCTGAGTGCCTTCATTCTAAAGGAGACAAATCCTGGGCTAGGAGGCACAGGGCTGGGGTTCTGGCCCCAGCATGGCCTGTGAAGCATTGGGCAAGACGGATTAGCAGTCTGAAACTGGGGTTCTCTCAGGCAATGAGAGGGTTGGGCTTGGTGATGTCCACCTTGGCCTGGTTCTGGCCAGTGACTTCCTGCCGAACCCCATTCAGCACCATTCTCCCACTCTTCCTCCTCTTCACGTCTCTCATCCTCCTTTCACCCTCATGATTGCTTTTTTGCTCACGGCCACCGGGTTTTGTTATTCTCTGGCACAGCCCAGCATATTCATTTCTCCTGGTGCGCTTCTCAGCTCTGCCTGGCGAATGGTGATGATGAGACATCTCCATGGAAACAGATGTTGATCCCACAGTTGCTTAGCGATGTGGGCAGGATGATGTCAGCCATGTTCTGATTTCCGGAAGGGCTTGGCATGCTTTGATGTGTCTGTACTACTAGGGCTGGGATGAGTAGGATGTTTCTTTCCTTGTGTCTCCCTTTTTTACGTAAAAGTAAAAGGCAAAAAGAACTGGAAATTTATTTTTGGGGGGACGAATGCCATTGTAAGGAGAGCAAAGTTTTGGGAGGCAGAGAATTGGGTTTGAGGCAGAGATAAGATAAGGAAGATGATGTGCTCCTCTAGAGGCCCAAGGGCTGGGGGCACCTGGGAAACTGCTTCCAGCGGGGGCAACTGCTGGCCAAAGCTGAGTACTCGGTGCCTCCCACTGCCTTAAGACCTGCCGTGGCAACAGTCACCTTGGGACAAATGCTGCTCCCACCAGAGCACCCCCAACATTTGTGAGACCTAGAGCAACAGTGCAAATGGAGGCCACATACCATCTCTCTAAATACTTAAAATTATAAACCAAGTCAGGATATTGTCAAATAAAATATATGCTATCCTCTGACCTTAGCAGTTGTGATGTGGAATAGTGCCTGGGCCCCACAAAGATGTCCACATCTTAATCCCTGAAACTTGTAAATATGTTTGATTCAGGTTGTGGATGATATTGAGATTGTGGCTGACTTTAAGATTGGGAGATTATATCCTGGCTTGGGTGGGTGAGTCCAGCATAATCACAAGGGTCTGTAAAAGTGGAAGATGGAGACAGAAGAGCAGGTCAGAGGGATGTGATGTGAGAGGAACTAACCAGCTATTGTTGGCTTTGGAGATGGAGGAAGGGACCACAAGGAAGAGGATACAGAAAGGGGCAAAAAACCAAAATCTACCTGAGAAGCTCCAGGAGGGAACGTAGCCCTGCTGATGCCCAGTGAGACTGCTGACCAAGGGACTCTAAGGTGTAAATGTGTGTTGCTTTAAGCCGCTAAGGTTGTGGGAACTTGTTCTAGTGGCAACAGGAGCGTGATCCATGTGGGAGGGCCATGGCACTGCTGCTCGGGGGCATGGCCCAGGAGGGAGGTTTTCTTGCCTGCATCTAGGTTCTACCACCAGGGAAAAAACGAAGTGATTTCTTTACCCTTTCCCTCCTTCCCTAACCCCTTTGTGTTAGTCTGTTGTGTACTGCTATAAAGGAATACCTGAGGCTGGTAATTTATAAAGAGGCTCTGCAGCCTGTACAGGAAGCATGGCATCAGCATCTGCTCCTGGGGAGGCCTCAGGAAGCTTCTACTCCTGGCAGAAGGTGAAGGGGGAGCAGGTACGTCACATGGTGAGAGGGAAGCATACGTCACATGGTGAGAGGGAAGCAAAAGAGAGGGAGCAGGAGAGAGGCCAGGCTCTTTCAAACAACCAGCTCTTGTGTGAACTAATAGAGCGGGAACTCATTCATTACCATGGGGAGGGCACCAAGCCATTCATGCAGGATCCTCCCCCATAACCCAAACACCTCCTGCTAGACCCACCTCCGACACTGTAGGTCACATTCCAGCATGAGATTTGGAGGGGACAAATATCCAAACCATATCACCCTTCAAAACAAAATATAACAAAACAGAGACAGCTCAAAGAATCTAACCAAGCCAAACTCCTCATTATATAGCCAAACCCAACTCTCCTATTAGCAGGAGAAAGGAAGGCAGCTTTTTTGTGTTACAAGAGATGTTGGGGCCATGAGGTCTTATGGGACTCTGAATTGCCCCTGCTTATCTGACCCTACCATCAGCCAGCAATGTGACCCAGGGCAGTCACAGAATGATGTGCTTCAGGATCTTCACCTGTGAGATAAAATTCATGAATGACACAAGGGCCAGGTTACTGTCTCTTTCTTCCCTTGGCTGTCTTCTAGTTTAGTAAACTGTGTTGCTTAATTCTGAGGGATGTATTTAGTCAGGAATTGCAAAGGAATCAGTGGTCAATGTTTTCTCTTTTTTCTTTTTTTTTTTTTTTTTGAGACAGAGTCTTGCTCTGTCACCCAGGCTGGAGTGCAGTGGTGCGATCTCGGCTCACTGCAACCTCTGCCTCCTGGGTTTAAGCAATTCTTCTGCCTCAGCCTCCCAAGCAGCTGGGACTACAGGTGTGTACCACCACGCCAGGATAATTTTTGTATTTTTAGTAGAGACGGGGTTTCACCATATTGGCCAGGCTAGTCTCAAACTCCTGACCTCATGATCTACCTGCCTTGGCCTCCCAAAGTGCTGGGATTACAGGCGTGAGCCCCCGCACCCGGCCAATGTTTTCTTCTCTCTAGTCAGTCAACCCACTCCTGCAGGATCCTTCAGGTCTGGGACATACCCTACCTCCTCCAGGTAGCCCACCATGACCACTGCTGCCCATGCTCGGCACATTCTGGCCGTAGCACCTTTGCCTTCACTTTCTTCTCCGTGTATAGCAACGCATTTTGCATATTTAGTTTAAACTTGTCCGTTTGAATCACCATTGGTCAGTTGATGATCAGTGGCTCTATTCAGGGCCTAGGACAGCTGGTTACATAATCAAGTCAAAGCCTGAACTACCTTGTAACTCTTAGGGTTCCCTGCTCCGCTGAGTGCAATGGTTTGTCTGGCTTGACACTTTTACAGCTTCCAAGACCCCTTCTCTGACAGCCTGTGAGCGCCTGTGTGTAGGCTGATCCTTGCAGCAGTCTCGGGGTACACCCTATGCCCAGGTGGGGAGAATTAACCTGTAAGAGCTACTTTTCACTTTTAGTTATTTAACTTAATATGTGCCATGAGGCTTTCAAGAAGTCTTGGTTGGGACTTCTTTATATCAAGGAGTTAAAAAGGAATTATTTGAGTTCAAGAGAAAGGAAAGATTAATAACATGGAAAACATCACCATCATGAGAAGCCTGTACTGGCAGTGTGTGCAGGTCTCAGTGAGCATGGATGTCTAGTGAGTGTTGTAAATATGCAGCACCCAGTGAAATGCAAGGTGCAATCTCACAGCAGACCGTGCTAAGACATCATTATTCCTGCACTATAAAGGCAGACTAGAAATCTGACCACTAAATATTTTAATAATAAAAGGGTAATGCTTATTACTCAATTAAATAAAATTTCCTACTTATTGTTATATTCCAAAGGATATCTATGATAGCAACATTTGGCTCCAGCTCAATGCTTATCTTAAAACTTGGCCATTTTGCATTTATCAGGATGTGTTTTTAGTGTACCTCTAAAAGGGTCCCATTGAGGCTTTTGTATTTCTTTCCCTGATAGGTATTTCATCCTTGTTAAAAATAGAGCCTCACATAAAAGCTGAAAACATGTTCCATCTCTGTATTAGTCCATTCTTACACTGCTATGAAGAAATACCCTAGACTGTGTAATTTATAAAGGAAAGAAGTTTAATTGACTCACAGTTCAGCATGACTGAGGAGGCCTCAGGAAACTTACAATCATGACAGAAGGGGCAGCAGACACCTTCTTCATGAGGCAGCGGGAGAGAGTGTGAGTGAGAATGAGGAAGTGCCACACTTTAAAAGCATCAGCTCTCATGAGAGCTCACTCACTACCATGAGAACAGCATGGGAGAAACCACCCCTCATGATCCAATCACCTCCCTCCCTTGATGTGTGAGGATTACAGGTCCCTCCCTGGACACATGGGGATTACAAACTGAGATGAGATTTGGGTGGGGACACAGAGCCAACCCATATTAGTCGCTAACTGCTTCTTTATGCTGATTCTCAACCTCCCCCTGAAACATTGTTGATCCAGGTCACTGAGATCTCAGGTTGAGGCGAGTCGCGAAGTCCTACATTTCCTCTGGGGAAACAGTGTGAGTGAGCGCCCATCCCATGGGTGTGAACCAGCCCAAATGAGGTGCTAGTAAACCAGGTGGAGTTGCCCCTTCCAGAACCATCTCCCGGTCTTCTCTGGCCTCCACTGTCCCCAAGCAAAGGGGAAGAACCACAGCTTTGTCCTGGTTAAAAGGACTCTGCAGTCACTGCTGGGTCTCTATTTAATCACAGTCCGTTACCACCCAGAATGGTTCCTGAGCCCTCCGCTCCACTCCACATACTGAGCAGAGTTTTGAAGTGTGATTAAATGGTTCATGCGGTGGCCAAAAGGAAGTAAAGGAGCAAATGGCAGGAATAACCCACGAGGATGGCAATCTGCTGACTGAGGGTCAAACATCCCACAACATTATGGTGAACGTGCAATCTCTATTTTTCAAGTCAGTCTGGATTTCAGATGTTCAGTGCCACTTGCCTGATACATTCATGGTATTCTTGTGAGCCGACCATGCCTCCATCTGGGAATCAGAACAGGTAGTGACAGCCTGTAGAACCACCCAGCTGAATGACAGGACAGGTCCCGGAGCTGCTGGAATTGTTGCTGAAGCATCTCCCCCACCGCAGATGATAATGCCATTGATGAAGTTCACTCCACTTTGGGAACCCCCTGAAGGAACTCGTGCCATTCATATTTGGTCATGTGCGTATTCAATGTCTTCCATCTGCTCACACTGTAGAGAGCAGTTTGCTGTATTTTTCTGCCCAATGGGCTGCTTTGGTTATAGATTATAAATAATTTATTTCCAGAATCTCAAGACTTTCCTTTTTCTTTAGGATTACATTTTGTATTTTTCATGTGGTTTGCCCTTCTGGGAGAATGTTCTCGGGTCTGAGTAACTTATTTTGGTTCCTCGAAACTGCTTTGGTTTGCACAGATGGTCTTCCTTTCAACCACTTTCCGTATTTTAATGATCTCTTATTCTTATGGAATTATTCCAAGTGACGTATTTGGTTTCAAGTTTTAGGCTGAAACACAGTTTTTTACTGCTAATTCCTGTCCATATGCGGTGTTTCATCTTTTGGGCTGACTGGGTGAAATCTGCAATTAGCTGTGGTCACTGGGGCACTGTTTCCCAAAGTAGGGTTTGTGCAACACCTGCATTCATAGTCAGCATGCTTCTCAAAAATGTAAATTTCTTGGACTAGTTGCAAACCCCCTGGTTTATAATTTTGGTGAGGGGCTGGGGAGTGGGGAGGGGGAAGGGAGGAGGCCCTGGAATCTGCATTTCTCACAAGTGTAGCAGGTGATGCATGTACACCATAGAATCTGAGAACCACAACCTAAGAGAAGGAGTGTAGTCTGCTGTGCTCCCAGACTATGTTTCTCCACACATTGCAACTCACAGGACCACGCTGTGAGAAGGACTCTGGCATTGGGTCTTTTCACCTGATCTTGTGGCCAGGTGTGGCTTGCTGCAACCGTCATTCCATGCAGAATCTTGCCATTCTGAAGGTGAACTGCACTATTATAGTTGGACTCCATGGAAATCAACCTGGCCACAGTGCCCAGGATGCGTCTGAGTGGGCAGAAAGGGGCACTTGGGAGGTCAGCATTCCCCAAATTTTCCACATAGAGGCAATATAAAAATGATGACATTTGCATTGGGAGTGCAATGTGCATTGGGAGTACCAAAGGAGGCTTCCTGGGGCTGCAAGATGCTAGTCCAGAGGCCCCAGCTTCCCCAAGCCTGATCTGGTTGTGTCCAGGGCCAAGGAGATAAAACCCTAGCATACCTGTATCCCATTTGTTGGAAGCCCTGTGTTAGATGTCTGTTGCTATAGTCCAGAACAGAAATAGAAGATGGCCTGTAGGAATAGTAGGGAGGGGATGAAGCAACAGATACTGAGGGTGGGGATTTTAGGACTTAACTAATCAGATGTGGGGAAACCAGAAGGGAAGGTATCAGAGGGCATTGGGGTCTGAGCCCAGCTGGGAGGTGGGGCCACTAACAGCAATAATGAGAGCCTGCCCTTGTTGCAGTGGAAGCTTTTATCTACTCTCACCTCTCTCTTCCGTGTCCTGGCCAAAGCCATATCCTTTCCCTGGTCATCTGTCCTGGGGGCTACTCCCAAAGGCCTGAGGCTGTAGAAGTGGGAAGACTGTGGCCCCCCAGGTGTCCAGGCAGATGACTGCTTTCGCTTCTCACAACCTGTGCTCCTACTAACAAGGGCTAGGGAGTATTTTCCCTATTTTATTTCTTAGTCGAGTAAGGCACATGCAAGCTATGTACCTCATTCCATGCATGACTTACTTGCCATGGGCTGGGGAGGGAGTTTATTGCCGGCCTTTTAAGTCCTAACTCAATGTTTTGTGTGTTTTTGCAGTCACCACCAAACAGCCACTTCAGCATATTGACAGAGAGCTTGTTTGCTCTTCATAGTAACCTCTGGCTGTGCTGTAGGCAGGTCAGGCTTCTAAATGGCAGTTTACTGAGGAGGACTCCTGGGCTGAGATTGTGTGGCGGCACCCAAGTCTTCCAGCCAGCAGGTGGCAGAACAGGGATCTCTGAATCCCTAATGCTGGAAAGTCTGGGGCTCCATTCTGATCCAGCAAATCACCATGTTTAGCCCACAGTGCAGCCCCCTCCTTAACCTTCTGCCCCAAACCCATTTGCCAGTTCTTGATGGCAACAATAGGAAAAGTAGGCTTCCAGGCAGGACTGATCCAAGAGACAGCTCTGATTTAAACCCAGGAGTGGGTTAGGTTTTGTAGCACCTGCAGCTCATACAATTTTGAAGTGCCTCTTTAAGAAAAAAAAAAAAAAAAAAGCAAACGTATGCTACTTTTGCAAACTTTACAGAAAACACAGGACCGTGCAGGTAAGGGGTCTTGACGCTTATGCTTTGTTAGCTTCTGGGTAAATCTGCTTCCACTTAAACACACTAAGGACAATTGAGGGCAGGCAGAGGCTTGGGTCACTGTTCCCTCTTGCTCACATTTTGCCTGGCACAGGTGCAAAATTACGGTACCATCGCATTTGAAAACAGCAGTTACCCCAAGCAGTTATCCCTCAAGGCCCTTTATAAATGTCAAGCTAATTATTAGATGATTAGATAATAGCTACAGTGTGTGCCGTCTGGGTGAGCTGTGGCTGCTGCTACCAAAACACCCTGAGAATGCCAAGTGACATGTTTGGAAAGGATTGGAAGGACTAAGAGTTCCAGGCCTGGACGGTGAAAACAAGCCTGGAGGTGGTCTCCAATGGGGAGATGCCTTAGAGGGAAAGGATGAGGAGGGCAGAGGCTGTGGCAGGTGCAAACATCTTCCCCAGAGAAAGGGCTCAGGTAGCAACAGCCACTTACTGAGCATTTGCTGGGTCAGGCTAAGCTCTTTACATGCATTTTTTCGTTTAACTCAAAACAACCTTTAAATGTGGGAAATTGTATTATTCCTAATTACCAGGTGAAAGTGGAGGCTGGACGGCACACACCACTAGTAAGCGGTGGAAAAGTATTTGAACTTAGAGCTTTCTAAGCCCATGTTTTTAACTCCTGAGCTGCTGGTGAGAGCCCTCTGGGCTAGGAACCCCTCTCTCTCCTGGTCTTTTTCTTTTTTCGAGATGGAGTTTTTGCTCTTTTCGCCCAGGCTGGAGTACAGTGGTGCAATCTCGGTTTATTGCAACCTCCGCCTCCCTGGTTCAAGTGATTGTCCTGCCTCAGCCTCCTGAGTAGCTGGGACTACAGGCGCCCACCACCACGCCTGGCTAACTTTTGTATTTTTAGTAGAGATGGGGTTTCACCCTGTTGGGCAGGATGGTCTTGATCTCCTGACCTTGTGATCTGCCTGCCTTGGCCTCCCAAAGTGCTGGGATTATAGGCATGAGCCACTGCGCCCAGCCTTCTCCTGGTCTTTTTCAGGAATGCATGGGAGGACTCATTCTGGGATCATAAATGACATCCCCCAAATTCTACCCCAGATCTGCCTACAGTCAAGCTTGAGGCCTTGTGGGCCTAGAACCAGGGCATCCTGGACTTCCGATGGGCAGGGCTGTATAGGAAGTTATGCCACCAACGAGGTGGTCCTGGACAGGGGCTGCATTAGGTCCATGATTTGCAAATGTGCTCTGTGGAAACTGAGGAAGTCCATGGAGCTTTTTTGGAAGCGGGGAAGAGCAGGACGGCATCTAATGAAAGGGCTCGGTAGGCAGGGTAAGGAAGCTCCAAGGACCCCCTGCCCCCAAATTCTACCAGAGCAGTCCCACCTTTATATGATGTCACGCTGGCCTTCCTGAAACACTCTTTTTTTTTTTTTTTTTTTTTTTTTTGGAAACGGAGTCTCACTCTGTCACCCAGGCTGGAGTGCAGTGCTGCGATCTTGGCTCACTGCAATCTCTGCCTCCCAGGTTCAAGTGATTCTCCTGCTTCAGCCTCCTGAGTAGCTGGGACTACAGGTGTATGCCACCAGGCCCGGCAAAATTTTGTATTTTTAGTAGGGATGGGGTTTCACCATGTTGGCCAGGCTAGTCTCAAACTCCAGACCTCAAGTGATCCACCTGCCTCAGCCTCCCAAAGTGCTGGGATTACAGGTGTGAGCCACCGCGCCCAGCCCCTGAAAAACTTTTTTTGAACAAAGGGATCTGCACCCCCAAAATGTATGCAGGCCAACCTAGGTCCTTCCAGCCCTGCCCCCACACTGGCTGGTTGGGAGCATTGTTCAAGGTTATGCCAGTAGAGCAGCCCCTCTCTTCCTCGTTAAGGCAGCCTGGTGAAGCTTTGAATCCCTCCTCAGAGCTATATTTTTAAATGCATGAAACAGAAGACATAGGATAACACCAATTACATTGAAATACAGTTATCACAATATTTTTATAGAAGCTAAAATTTTTGATATCACATCACAGATTCTTGTTAACACGACAAACAAGATCTAGTGACAGATCTCGCAACCCCCATAATTCTGAAGCAGTGATTAGCTTAAACAATAATTTCAGATATCGTAACAAATGCAGTGATATGAAATGTAACTTTGATTTCTACTGGCAAGTCGCAGATGCTGCTAAAATGTCTGAGGCCTGTTGACTACATTCAGAAGAGCAGGAGATACTCAATTTCAGTGGAAGGTTAGTGAAAATAAGGATATAAATTTTTTCCCCATTCAAGTTCACAGACCCTTCGAATTCTCTCCACAGCCCCACCGCCCCTGTTGTAAATCCATCAGCACAGTATGCTAGCCATTCGGGTCATTACTGCTAATTATAGCTGTTGTTAGTATTTGCTTCAGGCACAGCTGGCACCATGGCCTGGCTGGTCCCAGCTTCACTCATTCCCTGCTCTCAGTCCTAGTGACTAGCGAGGGAAACGTGTCTGCACAGCTTTTCTCCCTGGATGGAAGCCGAGTGCCTCTGGCCTGGAGCCTGTCCCTCAACCTGTCCCTCCACCAGGGAAAGCTGCAAAAGGGAGTCTGTGGCCTTTCCATCCTGGGTCTGTGGGAGTTCATCAGAGCAGAGGGTGGGCTCCTGACCCAGCCTGTCCTCATGGGAGTGCTGCAAGCTGACACCTAAGAGAGAACTGCCTGATTCCTAGGGTGACCTACCCTGTCAACAGAGGAGGGTGTCTCTGTTGCAAAGGCCTGGGAGGAGGTGGCCGGCAGAGCTTCAGAGAGCCATTCTGGGGTAAGCAGCTTATTTTTCCCTCCCTGCAATGGCTTGTTTTCAGACTCATTCACAGAATGCCCCAGAGGCTATGAGACCAAGGAAAGGGTGACACTTTTCCCCTGCACCTATGGTGGAATGGGCACAGAGGAGAACAAGGCTCGTGTGCCTCCCTACTTCTCAGGAAGGAAACTGCCTGTCATCATTGTTTGCAATTTCTCAGACACCACACAGTGGTGCCAGGTCCCTGTTGGGTGGCCCACCGTTTGAAGGGCTCCTGGCTCAGACTGGAAAATGGAGAAGGCAGGGTAGGGTCGGATGAGCCCAGACAGAGCCAAGAAGGTCAGGGCTGGCAGAGACCTCAGGGGACATGTGACCCTCCTGCCTCATCGCCAGGTGAGGAGCTGGAAGCCGGGTCCCAGTGGGTCAGGCCAGAGCCAAATATCAGCCTTTGTCACCTCTCCTGTGGCCTGATCAGTCAGTGCCTTACAGCCTCTCTGGTGGGATCCCTCATCCCTCCTGGTGACGGGGTGGGGAGAGGACAGACATTCAGCCTGCCAGATCCTGATTTCCTCATTGGTAAAATGGGAAAATGATCATCTGTCCCTCAAAGGTTGGCAGGAGGCCTTCATCTCTTACTAAGTGCCCAGCACAAAGATAACAATAAAATCACAAATAAGAGGTCCCTGCCCCTCTCCCCTTCTGTGCTGAGTTCATCTGGAATCCCCAAGGCCCAGCCTCAGGCCTGGTGCTCAGTGGGAACTTAAAGAATCCCTGTTAAAATAAAGATGGATGGCTCTGACCTCCAAATGCCAAGACCGGGCTGTTTGCAAATCTAAAGGCTCCTAGGCAGCAGTGGGAGGAATTTGAGCAGAAACATGGAACAGCATGTCCAAGGACATAAATTCCAAGTTATTTTTGTTGGGAAATCTGAAGAAAATAATTCCATCCACATTCCCCACGTCGGAACTGTTCTCCCAGGTTGGCTTCAGCAGCGGCCCATTCCAGCCACCCCTCCTTCCTGCAGGCAGAGGTGAGGCCCTAGGAGGGAGCAGGGCAGGCCAAGTACCCTATTCGGGAGAAGGTGTCCCTGGATCATTGCCTTGGCTTGGGAAGATGATGGCACCAGGTGGCAGGGGCTGAGCCACAGGTAGTGGATGGAAAGGGCCTGTCATCTGGGCAGAAACTCAGACCCTGAGGGTCCATGTCCTTAATGAGGGGGGAATGGGGCTGGGAGGTGCCCACGTCACCAGGAAGCATTTCTGATGCTCCCCCTACTACAGGGCTCTCACTTAGCACAGTTTAAACCCAATTTATTCCAAAGTTATATGACTAAAACATCTTTCAGCTTGCCCCCTGTTAAATGTATATTGTATTCATTTACAAATTATTTGACGTAAATTACTGTACAGATCTGTGTATTATACACATTAAAACTTTTAAAAAAGAAAAGCATGGAAAAGTGAAAGGATATAAATAAATGTAAACAGAGCATCCACATTTTGATCCTGCATTGGGAACAAATGAATTTGGTGGACATGCCCCACTCTGGAGACCCCCGGTATAAACTACGCTTGCTTTCATTGCTCTTCTGTTTCTTTGTATCTTGCTTATTTGTTGGTTCAATTTAGTGAGAGCCTCTCCTGCCAGGCAGGGTGGGTATCTTGTTTTTCCACCTGGTTTATAAAGTTGCTAAAACACCAGAACATTAATGCTTTGGGCAGCACATTGTACACAGCTGGTGCCTCATAAAGGCAGTGAACCCCTCCTGAACACCTCCTTTAGTCCAGCTTCGTGGCAGTCCTTAGGGTTTCCAAAAATAAGACCTGCTTCCCACCCTCACGATGCTCACGATCCCGGGGAGAGACAGGCTCACAGAGACCACACTTCTGCCAATGCCCTGCATGTCAGGGAAGAGCTGTGTACACCCTTTGGGGATACTGAGGAAGGAGCAGTAATCACATTGGGGGTGCAAGAGGGGCACCACACAGAGCTGTCTGAGTTGGGCGTGAGGGATGGCTAGGCCCCCTGAGGGGGAGGAGCAAAGGAAAGATGGCAGAAGCAGAGGTGGAGCATGTGCAAAGGACCAGAGGCCTGGAGGTGCATTTCGAGAGGCACAGAGGCACAGTTTCAGAGGCACAGAGGTGCATGATTTCGGGTGTGGCCACTGGGCCATTATGGCTGGAACTCATGGGAAATGGAAGGAGTTGTGACAGAGGAGGCTGGGAAGCTGGGCAGGAGATGTCCATGGAGGTTCTAGGCAGGAAAGTATGTGGTCACTCTACCTGTGTGGCTTTCCTGCCTGTAGGGGCTCAATTGGAGTGTCCTTTTCTCCACCTAGCTTCAGCCCAAGGGAAACAGGGGACCAGACAGCTGGTGAGGGGGCAGCTCAAACTGTGGAAGAAGAGAGGCTCTCTCAGCCCTCCTCCCTCTCCAGTGCTGAGGCAACAACAGGCCCAGGCCACACTGGGGGATGTGGAGATCTGGAGAGCCATGGGCTTCATTCACAGAAGCTGACCCACCACCCCACCACAGCCCCCACTCAGAGGCCTTGGGGCATCCCTGGGGGCTCCAGCCTTGAACAGGGGCTTTGCCTGGCTCTAGTCTGGGGATGTCACCCCAGCTGCCCTCACCAGCTCTGCGTGGGAATCCTGCTTCAGGGCCAGCGGCCCCTCCCTGCCCCTCCAGTGAGTCCATGGCCCTGAACTCCTTCCCCGCTCCCTGCGATGGGAGGCTTGTGGCCTAGATCTGGGGAAAAGCCCCAGAGCCTGAGGCAGCTCCAAGCTGACCTGATCACATCCGCTCTCAGGGGATGGGAGGTGTGAAGATGCTGGTTTCTGAAGTTGGGGGTGGGGGCTGCCCACAGGGGAAAGATCCATGAAGAGGGAGACGACCCCACCCCCACCCGCAGTCTTCCCTGGTACAGCACGTGGCCCTGGGCCTGCGGGATTTTCATGCTCGACCAACTGCCATGGGCCCTAAGCCCTCCTGGTTCAGGCCTCGGTGTGGGGCAGGTGTGGCTGAGAACCAGACTTGGGAATTCAGGGTCAGCCTCAGTCCAGAGGCTGGGAGGAGTTGAGAGGAAGGTCGGGTGTTGCTGAGTCCCAGCTTCAGTAGGAACATGCCTGGTCTTCAGGCACATGGAGAGGCGAGAGAGAACCCCAGGAGGTACTGTCCGGGGCTGGGTCAGCAGGAGCCATTGCTCTGTGCATTGCTCTGTGTCTCCAGTGACACCCAGAGGGCAGAACTGCAGCTGACCCAATGCCGAGGCAGGGAGTGGGGAGCCTTGTGTAAGAGAAATCTGAAGCAAGGTTCAGGATGATCCAGGCCAGTTTAATAAACACAGGATGGAGAGGCCCCAAGCTAGGCCACTTCAGGATGCCCTCAGCCCACAAAGCCCAAAGTAAATCAGAAGTCCCCATCGTCATCTGTAAAGCCTATGGATTGGTTTTCTCACATGGCAAAGGGAACTTTGCAGATGTGATCAGGTAAAGGATCTTGAGATGGGGAGATGACCCTGATTATCCGTGTGGGCTCAATGGAATCACAAGGGTCCTTACAAGAGGGAGGCAAGAGGGTCAGAGTCAGAGAGTAGATATGACCACGGAAGCTGTTGTCCATGTGATGTGGTGCCATGGGCCGAGGAACACGGGCAGCCTCTAGAAGTTGCAAAAGTCAAGGAAGTGAAGACACTCCTAGCTAGAGCCAGAAGGGGCGCAGCCCTGCCACCACCGTGGCTTTACGCCAGTGAGGCTGATTTTGGTGTCTGACCTCTAGAACTGTGAGATCATACATATTTGTCATTTTAAGCTACTCATTTTGTGATAAATTGTTTCAGCAACAACAGGAAAGTAATATGAGGCATGAACTTTTCCAGAGCTAGAGAGGGGTAGAGGTTAAAACTGAATCCAAGTCTGACTCCAAAAGATGTTATGACCTGAATTTTCATGTTCCCCTACAATTCATACGTTGAAGCCCTAAATCCCAGCCCATGAGGCCTCTAAGAAAGTAACTAATGTTAAATGAGGACCTAAGGGTGGGGTCCTGATCAGATGGGATTAGTGCTCTGATAAGAAGAAACAATGGAATACAGTTCTCTCTCTCTCTCTCTCTCTCTCTCTCCTCTCTCTCTCTCTCCTCTCTCTCTCTCTCTCTCTCTCCTCTCTCTCTCTCTCCTCTCTCTCTCTCTGTCTCTCTCTCTCTCTCTCTCTCTCTGACACAGCAAGAAGGTGGCTGCCTACAAGCCAGGAAGAGAGCCCTCACCAGAACCTGACAGTGCTGGTCCCTTCATCCTGGACTTCCAGCCTCCAGAGCTGTGAGAAATAAGCCACTCAGTCTATGATATTTTGTTATGGCAGCTCGAGCAGATGAATACAGATGTTAAGAAGCTCAGAACGCACAGTAAAGGGTGATACTACTTGTCCAGGTAAGAGAGGTGTCCCAGCCTACAGCCAAGCTGGATGGACCAATGCTGAGCCTTGCCTTGAGGCACTGGAAGGGTGCTCCACAGGAATCAGGAGCTGAGAAGCTCAGAACTGCAAAATGGCCCCTAGCCCCTGCTTTTTCATGGAGGAGCTGCAGCTACCTGACAGCTCTCTGTTCTCACAGGGGTTAGGACCCAGGAGCTGCCCTTCCATGATCACAGCTGGCTCGGGCTTCTGCTGACAGGCGAGGCTGGGCTGGCTTGCCAGCAGAACCTCTTATCTCCTTCATGTGGAGTGAGTGGAAGGCAGGGGACCTTTCTTGACACTTGGAAGAGACAAAGCCCAGCTCTACCATGACTGACCACGAGACCCTGGATAAATCACTGACTCATTCCTGTCCTCAGTCTCTCCAGCTGTAGATGGGATGGCAATGTCTACCTCTGCGGACTGTTGGAAGGATCAGTTGCATGTTAGTCTAAGTGGAACTGATGCTCAGCTGGTACACAGTGCTATGACCGCTCTGCCTCCCATTGTCAGGGGCTGGAGTCCCTTCTGGCTGGCAGCTGCCTGCACCTCGCCAGGGATTAAACCATTTTACTCTACCCCTTGGAACTAAATCAAGTATTCTTAAGCTCCAATTACCTGCTACCAACCAGCACACCTGGTAAATACATTTCTATGGGGCTGGCCTCCCGTGCTGAGCTTTTACTTCTCTGTAACAGGGAGGTGTGGATTCTCGAGTGCCTCCCTGTGAGGGAGACATTTGGTCACCTGGAGCCTCTGGCCAGTAGTCTGTTTTAAGCAGCACCATTGTTCCTGCTATTCTCCCCTTTCCAGAATGCCTAGTGGGAAGCCTGTACACTTCCCCCACCTCTTATTCCTGACCATAGTCTGAGAGCTCTGGGAGGGAATGAGGGACTGGGGGACAGTCAAGCAAGGGGAGAGAGCCAGCAGGGACAGCCTCTTCAAGTGACCTTCCCAGATTTTTTTTGAAAGTATCATTCAGTGATACATCTACTCACGATGCTATATTTATCTATGAAAGAGGCAGGATATTTTTGAGCGGATGTAATTTCTGGCTCTCTCCCTTCAAGAAAAAAAAAAGTGTCATTCCTATTCATTTCTTCCTGCCTCTGCTTCTGTCTCTCACACATTTCTTTTGTATAAACATACCCCCCACACATGCACACACACGCACATACACATACACACATCTGTGCACACACACAGAGGCAGGCACATGGTCCAAGAGCTAAAATTCCGTGACTCTCTTTGGCTGATTCAGACTTATCTAGCATGATGCATAGAAAGGCAGATAGACAGGAGGAACAGGAGAAACAAAAAGGAAACTGAGTTTGTTCATTTATATTTTTGCCTCCAACTTCACTGAACACTTAATGTTATGGGAAATTGGATGAGGGCAAGAGAAAGCTCTGAGAGACACCTGCCAGGGTAGCAGTTGGGTGAACCAGGTCAGAAAGAACACTTTTCTCTCTGGCTTCCAAGAAGTCACAGAGAGCAGAGGTACCCCATTTGCAGGTGACCCAAAGCTGAGACCTGGGGTAAGGGAAGTCTGAAGCAAGATTCAGGATTTTTAGGGCAAGCCTGAGGAAGAGTAAGATGAACTGTTACCAGGATGAGCATCTTTCATTCTGCATTTAAATTAAATTACCAACACAAATGCCTCAAGTGTGGGTTGGAGGATTCCTACCTACAGGGTGAGCAGGTGCCTCCTGTGTGATCTGGGCGCTGGGACTGTCAGAGCTGCAAAGGTCTCCAGGCAGTAAATCAGAAAGGGAGGAGGTGGGGGAGCACTTGGCTCCAGGTCTCTTTAGCTGAGTTACAGACAGATGCTGGGTTCAGGTATCAAATAATTGAAGAGAGAGAGAAAAATGACCAAATCTAGAGAAAGGACCAAATTTGAGACCCAGAGAACATCAGCAGAAGGTGTCTTACAGGCTCAAGAACCAGGGGTTTGGGAAGGGAGAGACAGGGTTGGGATCTGGTAGAAAGGGGACAAGAGTTGACCTAAGGGACTCAAACCTAAGGTAATTTCCTAGTGGAACTTGGGCTGTGCTGGGGGCTGCAGAGCCCTGAGCTGCCCCTCCCAAGACAGCAGTTCCAGCGGCTTTTGGAGAATAGGACATTACTTAGTGTATGGATGAGTGGGTAAATGCTTGCTTGAGTTTGGGGTGGGGACCCTTCCTGGAGGGGCCACCAGGTCACAGAAGAAGCCAGACAGTGTGGGAGTCCCTGGGGATAGCACCCTCCATACCAAGGTTTACAGCTATTGGGGGCAGGAACCATCACTAGAGTCAGAAGCTCTAGGCCTGTCGCTGACTCGCTGGAGGACCGTGTGCAGCTCATCAAACCTCTCTGAGCCTCAATTTCTTCATCTGTTACAGGAGAGTGGTGATAATATTGCAGAGGGCTTTGTGAGGATTGAATGAGCTGGGCCATGGAAAAGGACTTTTAAAAAGTGCTTTCTAAATGGTAAAGCACAATACAAGTGTTGTTTTACTTTTCTCTAAGAAAAGGCAGAGGGCTTCTATGGAAAGAACGTGGGCTTTGAAAATTGACAGGTGGAATCCTGGTTATATCCCCTGTAAGCTGTGTGGCCATGGGGAAGTTCTAGAACATAAGTAGATAGGTGTATAGCCATCCCTTCCACCCACTGTTTCTTAACAATTAAAGTATAATTTACATACAGTAATTCATTCTTTTTAGTATACAGTACTGTGAGTTTTGACAAATAAATACATTGGTGTAACCTGCATCACAATCAAGATACAAGCCGAATGGTCCCAAGATTCTAAACACTTCCCCCATCTGCTCTGTATTGATCTCCATACATCCAGCTACTGGCAATCACTTAACCAGTTTTTTGCTCCTATAGTTTGCCTTTTCCAGAATGTCATATGAATGGAAGCATGCAGTATTTCGCCTTTCAAGTCTGGCTTTTCTCACTGAGCATAATAATGCTTTTGAGATTCATCCCTGCAGCAGTATGTGTCAGTAGTCACTCCTTTATATTGCCAAATAGTACTCCATGAACGTACTACAGTTTATCAATTGCCCAGCTGAGGGACAGCTGGGTTGTTTCCTGTTTGGGGCCATTGTGAGTATAACTGCAGTAAACACGCAGATTTCTATGTGAACCTGTTTTCCCCTACGGTAAATCCTAGGAATAGAATAACTGGGCTGTATGTTAGATGTTTGTTTATAAGAAACTGGTAAAGTCTTTTCCAATGTGGCTCTACCCTTTTTCATTCCCGCCAGCACTGAATGAGTATTCCAATTGTTTCTCTGTGGGTGGCAAGCCATCCAGGTGCTGAGGCAAGAGACCGAGAGCATGAGCTGTTCCAGTATAATAAAATATATAAAACAACAAGAGTTATACTAGATCTAGATCATAGACATGATTATATATGAATATCATTAATCATTAGTTTGTAGCAATTACTCTTTATTCCAATATTATAATAATCCTCGATCTATAACCATAACCTAGGAAAAACCAGGCCATACAGAGATAGGAGCTGAGGGGACATAGTGAGAAGTGAGCAGAAGACAAGAGTGCGAGCCTTCTGTTATGCCCAGACAGGGCCACCAGAGGGCTCCTTGGTCTAGCGGTAACACCAGCGTCAGGGAAGACGCCCGTTGCCAACAGACTGTGGTCTAGCAGTAGCGTCAGTGTCAAGGAAAAACACCCGCTACTTAGCAGACTGGGAAACGGAGTCTCCCTTTCCCTGGGGGAGTTTAGAGAAGACTCTACTCCTCCACCTCTTGTGGAGGGCCTGACATGAGTTAGGCCTGCCCGCAGTTATCTGGAGACCTAACCGTCTCCCTGTGATGCTGTGCTTCAGTGGTCACACTCCTAGTCTGCTTTCATGTTCCATCCGGTACACCTGGCTCTGCCTTTTAGATAACAGTAGCAAAATAAGTGAAAGTACTAAAAGTCTCTGATAAGCAGAAATAAATGCATAAGCTGTCTCTCTCTCTCTCCCTCTCTCTCTCTGCCTCGGCTGCCAGGCAGGGAGGGGCCCCCTGTCCAGTGGACACGTGACCTTACCTATCACTGGAGATGGCTCACACTCCTTACCTTGTCCCTTGTCTTGTATCCAATAAATATCAGCACAGCCTGGCATTCGGGGCCACTACCAGTCTCTGCATCTTGGTGGTAGTGGTCCCCTGGGCCCAGCTGTCTTTTCTTTTATCTCTTTGTCTTGTGTCTTTATTTCTACAATCTCTCGTCTCCACACATGGGGAGAAAAACCCACCGACCCTGTGGGGCTGGACCCTACATTTCTCATCCTCGTCAGCACTTGGTATTGTCAGGTTATTTTATTTTAACCATTTTAATTGTATAGCTCATTGTGGTTTTAATTTGCATTTCCCTAATGATTAATGATGTTGCACACCTTTTTTTTTTTTTTTTGGACATGGAGTCTTGCTCTGTCGCCCAGGCTGGAGTGCAGTGGCGTGATTTAGGCTCACTGCAACCTCCGCCTCCTGGGTTCAAGCCATTCTGCCTCAGCCTCCCAAGTAGCTGGGACTACAGGCATGCACCACTATGTCTGGCTAATTTTTGTATTTTTAGTGGAGATGGGGTTTCGCCATGTTGGCCAGGCTGGTCTCCATCTCCTGACCTGAGGCAATCTACCTGCCTTGGCCTCCCAAAGTGCTGGGATTACAGGCGTGAGTCACCATGCCCAGACTGCACACCTTCTCAAGTAGTTATTTGCCATCTACAAATCTATTTTGTTACAAGTATTTGCCCTCCCTTTTAAAAATTTCAGTTGCTTCTTTACTTACTATTGAGTTTTGAGGGTTCTTTTTATATTCTGGATACGAATCCTTTCTTGGATATGTGATTTGCCAATGTTTTTTGCCAGTCTGTGGTTAGTCTTTTCACTCTCTTATCAGTGTCTTTCAAACAACAGAAGTTATTAACGTTTTGATGAAATCAACTTAGCAATTTTTTTCTTTTCTGAATCATGCTTCTAGTATTGAGTTGAGGACATTTTTGCCTAGCCCAAAGTCACAAAGATTTTCTTCTGTGTTCCTTCTAGAAGTTTTATAATTTTACATTAAGGTTTATGATCCATTTTGTGGTAGTTTTTACATTGGAGTGGGAAGTATGGATTGGAGGTTTACTTTTTGCCTATGCATATTTAATTGTTTCAGCACCATTTGTGAAAAGACTATCCTTTCTCTACTGAATTTCCTTTGTATTTGTGTAAAAAAGTTGTTGACTATATGTGTGTATCTATTTCTGGACTCTATATTCTGTACCATTGACATATCTATTTTTTTCTTTTTCCCTCCAAAATCATACACTGACCTCATTGCTATAGTTTTATGATAAATATAGTAAGTCCTGAAATCAGGTAGCATGGTTCCTCCAACTTTGCTTTTGTTTTCTCCCAAATTGTTTTGGCTATTCCAGTTCCTTTGCCTTTCCATACAAATTTTAGCCTCAGATTGTCAATTTCTATTAAAAATTTGCAGAGAGTTTTATTGAAATTGAATCAAATGTATAGATCAATTTGGAGCGAATTGACATCCTAATATTGGGCTTCCTTTGATGTCTTTCATCAGTGTTTTATAAATTTCAAAATATAGATATTGCATATATCGCAGAATTTGAAACTGATATATTTAATGCATTTGGTGATTTGGTCTTCTCTTTCAGTCTGGCTTAGAAGTTAATCGATTTTATTCATTTTTTTTCAAAGAGCCAGCTTTTCATTTTGTTGACTTTTTTATATTGTTTTTCTGTCAATTTCATATATTTCTATTTTTTATTTTTATTTTTTGAGACAGAGTTTTGCTCTTGTTCCCCAGTGTGGAATGCAGTCGCACAATCTCAGCTCACTGCAACCCCTGCCTCCTGGGTTCAAGTAATTCTCCTGCTTCAGCCTCCCAAGTAGCTGGGATTACAGGCGTGCACCACCACGCCCAGCTAATTTTTGTGTTTTTAGTAGAGACGGGGTTTCATCATGTTGGTCAGGCTGGTCTCGAACTCCTGACCTCAGGTCATCCACCTGCCTTGGCCTCCCAAAGTGCTGGGATTACAGGCATCAGCCACTGCACCTGGCCCAATTTCATTTATTTCTCATCTTTCTTATATTGATATTGTTTTCTTTCTTCTGCCTGTCTTGAGTTTAATTTGCTTTCTACTCTAGTTTTATAAGGTGGAAGACTAGTCATTTATTTTATACCTTTATTCTTTCCTAATGTAAGTATTTAGTGCTATACATTTTCCCTCAAAGTACTGACTGAAATGCATCACACAATGCTTGATTGCTTGATATTTTGTTTATATTTTCATTCAGTTCAAATTATTTTCTAATTTTCTGTTACTTCCTTTTGACCCATAGATTATGTAGAAGGGTGTTTTAAAATTTCCAACTATTTGAGGACTTTGCAGATATCTTCTTGGTTTTGATTTCTAGTTTAATTCTGCTGTGGTCAATTAACTTATTTTCTATTATGTAAATTCCTTTGAATGTGTAAGTATTAAAACTGACCCTGAACATGATCTGTTTTGTGACTATTCCATGTGTTCTTGAATGAGTATTTTGCTCTTGTTGTGTGAACTATTCTACAAATATCAATTAGATGAAGTTAATTGACAATATTGTTTGGGTCTTCTATATCCTTAGAGATTTTCTGACTACTCCTTTTATTGGTTATTTACAGAGGAGCATTGTAGTTTCCACGTATAATGTGGATTTGTCTATTTCTCCTTTCAGTTATATCATTTTTTGCTTCATGTATTTTTAAGCTCTCATTTTAGATGTACACATATTTAGGATTATCATGTCTTTCAGTGGAATTACCCTATAATCATTGTATACTGGCCACCTCTATGACTAGTAATATTTCTTGTTCTGAAGTCTATTTTGTCTAATATTAATGTGGCCACTCCAGCTTACTTTTAAATAAGGCTTGCATAATATATCTTTCCCCATTATTTTAGTTTTATCCTAACTGTATAATAAGAGACAGAATATAGTTTTGTCTTTAAAAAAAATCCAATTTGACAATTGCACTTTTTAATTTGTGTATGCATTAGTCTGCTAGGGCTGCCATAACAAAATATCATGGACTGGGCGGTCTAACCAACAGAAATGTATTTGCTCACAGTTCTAGAGGCTGGGACTCCAAGATGAAGGTGAGAGTATGGCTGGGAGTCCAAGATGAAGGTGACAGTAGGGTTGGTTCCTGCTGAAGCCTCTCTCTTTGGCCTGCAGATGGCTGCCTCCTCCCTGTGTCTTCATGTGGCCTTTTCTGTGTGTGTGCGTATCTCTGGTATCTCTCTTCTTATAAGAACACTAGTCATAATGGATTGGGCTCTATTCTTATCATCTCGTTCAACTTTAACTACCTCTTTAAAAGTTCTATGTCCAAATAGAGTCACATTCTAGGGTACTAGTGGTTAGGGCTTCAACAAATTGGTTTTAGGGAGACAGTATTCGGTCTATAACAGTATATTATGCAATTTACATTTAATATAATTACTGATATGTTTGGATTAAAATCTACAATCTTGCTAGCTTTTTTCCTATTTCATTTTTCCTTATTTTTCTCTTTTTTCAGATTGAATATTACTTATTCTATTTTATATCTATTACTGGGTTATTTTTATTTCATTTTAAATTTATTTATAATACTTATAAATATTCATCACAGTCTAACTTCAAATACTATCATATGGCTTCATTTGTACAGTAAGGGTCTTATAGCAATATATTCCTGATTTCTCTCTCCCATCGTTTGTGCCAGTGTTGTCTTACATTTTTCTTTTATATGTGCTGTAAATACCCAAGATATTACAAGCATTTTGCCTCAGGCAGACAGTTATCTTGTGGAGCAACTGAAAATTTATTTTCATTTATGCCATTTCCAATGCTTGTTATTTCTTTTTGTAGGTACTTGTTTCTGTTTACTATCATATACTTTATTCTAAAGAAATTCCTTTGATATTTCTTGTAGCACTGGCCTGCTGGCAATGGACTTGATGTTTTTATTTTCCTGAAATTTTTTTATTGCTCCTTTATATTGGAAAGATATCTTCAGTGGGAATAGATTCTGAGTTAAAGTCTTTTTTTCCTTTCAGCACGTTAAAGATGTTGTTCCATTGTGCTCTGGCTTACATAGTTTCTGAAAAGAAGTCTGCTATACTCTCTCCTTTGTTGGTCTATATTATGTGTCATTTTTCCTTGGGTACCTTCAAAATTTTCTCTTTGTTCTTGGATTTTAGCTGTTTGAATATAATATGTTTACGTTTACTCCTCTTCTTCCTCCTGCCTCCCTTTCTCTTCCTTCTTTCTCTTATTTTTCTTCTATCCTGTTTGCTCTTCTTAGGTTAATGAATGTAGTTTGGTGTCATTATTTTTAAAAACTCTGAGCAACCATCCTTACAAATACTGTTTCTGCCCTGTTCTCTCCCTCTTCACCTTCTGGGATTTCACTTCCATCCATGTTAGGACTGTTTCATATTGTCCCATAGGTCTTCAATTCTGTTCCATTTTTCACTTGTTTTTCTCTTTGTGTTGCTGTTTGAATAATTTCTATTGACTTGACTTCTAATCCACTGTTTCTTTTCTTAGCTGTGTCAACTCTACTGATGAATCTTTCAATAGCATTCTCCAGCTCCTTGTTTTCCATTTCTAGCATTTCCATTTGTTTTTTATTTCTAGTTTTGCTCTCTTTGCTGGAATTACCAACTTGACTATACATGTTGCTCACCTTTTCACTAAAACTTTTAACATATTAGCTGGAGTTATTTTATATTCCTTGTATAATTTCAACACCTTTGGCAAGTTTGAGTCTAGTTCTGCTGATTGCCTTATCTTTTTATTGGGCGTTATTTTTTTCTTGCTTCTTTGTGTTCTTTGTAACTTCTTTGTTGAAAGTCAGACATATTGTGCAGAACAGTACAGACTGACGGCTGGAAATGGGCATGCCTTGTCTTTTACTGGGCCTTTGTTATGGAGGTTTGAGCAAACTAGTCAGGAGTTGAGCTGTGTTTAGGTTTTACTGTTACTATGGCTATTGTTAGTGCATCATAGGCTTTAAATTTCTCTTGAAGTGCCTTGTGTTTAGGGTGGTAGCTGGTTTGCCAGAGGGTGTTGCTTAATGTCTATTTCACCATCAGCTTCAGGACTTCCCTTTGTGGCTACACCTTCAAGAAAATTTCTCTTCATACTCTTGATCCTCCTCCAGCAATAGATTGCTGTTACTTGTTACTTAACCCTTTTAGCCTGAAGTTGGAGAACAGGGCAGGGTTGAGGGGCATTGTCTGCTATTCTGCTTCAGCTTCAGTCTTAGGCAGAAGCTATGGCCCTGTGTCTCAAGGGCAGTGATATTTCAGTGATCCTGTCCCTTCCCTCTCTGTAGGAGACTCTACTGGTGTGCTCATATCTTTTCCCCTCACCCAGGGCAGAGAGTTTTTACTCTTCTCTTCTCGCAGCTGTGACAGATTTTCACCTGCTCCCTAAGGACAACAAAGTTTGCTGTCTTTTCTCCAATAGTTTGTTTGCTTTTTTTTTCCACAGGGGATATAGGGAGAAGGGTCTGTGTGGAACTTTGAGCTTCCCTGCAACACTTTTCCCCTGAACCCGGAGAGAGGTCTGATCATATTTCTCACCCTCCTGCTTTCTTGTGAGCATCTAGTGTGGTCTATGGAGAAGAGATTGCAATGGACCGTGGATTCCCCTTATGTCTACAACTCCCAAGGGGTCTATACGATTATACAGCCCCCACATATTTGTTAGGAAGTTTGGCTGAATTCTTTCCAGTTTGTATGGAGTCTGACATGTAAGCAAGTACCTGTGTTCTGTCTCCCTTTGGAGGTGCCTGCTTTTTCTTACATTTTGGGTTAGTTTGTTACTCGCAATCCCAGTTCTCTGATGAGATCAAGAAAAGTCATTTTGCAGATTGTTGGCTTTTTCTTTTGGTAAGGATGACAGCAACGCTCTTTGCAGCTTTCTACACCCTAAGCAGGAGCCAGAAATCCACAGCTTTGGAGTTTAAGAGTCTTGGAGCTTACTTGTTAGGTAATCTTTAAAAATGTTATTTGTATTTTTACTTTTTGGATTCTTTGAGAGTACAGATTATTCTATGTATAGTTAAAGCAGAAGAATAACATACACCTTTGTTTTATCTCATGCAATGATTTTCTTTTTGTTGTTTGTTCTTATACATTTTTAAATTTAAGTCTTGAATAGGATGCACAATTACGTGGTTCAAAATTCAAAAGAGTATGCAATAAACGTCTCCATCCCATCCCTATTCTCTGGCCACCTGGTTCTAGGAAGCCAGTGTTACTTGTTTCTTATTATCCTCTCAGAAATATCTTGTGCAATTACAAGAAAATACCTCCGTGTCCTCTCCCCAATTATTTTTACACTAAATGGTAGCATACTTTGCATGCTGTTCTGTTTTCTTGTTTTTTAAATTCACTTAGCAATATGTTTCGAAGACCTTTCCTGATCAACACAAAGAATTTTCTAATTTTCATAACTCTATAATATTCCACAGTATGGGTACAACATTAGTTTAATCACATACTATTTATTTAACTGCCCATTGATGGATATTTAGGTTGTTTACTGCCTTTGACACTGTTAACAATCAGTACTATAAGCTTACTTCCCTTATCTGCAGAGATAATCTGTAGCATAAATTCTTGCTCATGAAATTTCTAGGCCTAAGGGTATGTGCATTTGTATTATGAATATTGCCATATTGCCCTTTCCAGGCACTACACTAATTTAGAGTCTCCCCTAAAATGCATAGGAGTGCCCGTTTCCTATACCTTTGCCAAAATAGAACATTCCCAAACTTTTGGATCTTTGCCAATCTGGTAGGGCAAAAATAGTATCTCTGTGCAGTTTTAATTTACATTTATCTTAATAAGAGTTGAGCCGGATGACTTTACATTGGCTAAAGATACAGTTTTTATTTCTCTTTCTGTTCTCCAGAGCCCAGAATGCCTCAGAGATTCCCATGGGGTTTGGGAGAGACAAGCCCAGGAGCAGGCATTATCATTCCCTCTGCCTCTCCCAGATTCAGCCAAGCAGTTCTGTTTTCACTTTTTAAATATGTATTGGAGTTCCCGCATAAAGTTTTATTGTGAGCAAAATGTTTCTGTTATATTTAAATAGAAAATTATTGATTGAAGGCAATGCATTTTTAAATCACTTTTGATAGCTGATTAGGGAGAAAGACCCCATTCCTTGCCTCCTTGCATGTCAGTTTCCTTAGAGGAACTCCAGGGAATAGAGTGCTGAGGATTTCTAGGCTGAGAGAGGAGAAAGATGTCGGTCACATTCATTATGACACATTTCTGAGGAAATTGAAGCCATGGCCTTGTGTATCTGACACACAAGCTGCCAGGACACACACTCAGGTAACCGTCTCTGGGACGTAATCTCACAGTGCAGCTGGAGAAGGATGTGCTTGTGTGTCCCTAGGAGGGGCAGCTCCTCGATGACCAGGATGAGGTCCTGAGCTTTGGCCTAAGCAAAGCATGATCCCAGAAAAGGCCTGGAACCATCTATCCTGGAGAGGGTGAGTTTTGTTTTCATTTTTTTCCCAGTGTAGCATGGCCGTAGGAAAGGAAAAAGGATTTCATGATCAGGCCAACACCTAGGAAGAGATAAGAGAGCAGCTACAGAGTTCGGAGGGGAGGAGGAGAGAGCTCAGGGGCAGGAGGCCAGGGCACCGGCATAAATCCCCGAGAGGGACCTGAACTTGAACTCTCACAGGGTGCTAGAGCCAATCTTATCTCATTCTTGGGGGCAGTGGGAACCCTGCTGATTTGTGGGTCACAAAATATATACTGTAACTGTGCTCAAAGATTAAATAAATTACCCCAGTTTACAGAGTTACCTTACCCAGCCCCTCTGCTTCTCCCCTGCCACCCGCCTGAGGCTGTGGCTTCCCCCACTGCCTGGGCACTGCTGGGACCACCCTCTCTGTTCTGGCTGGGAGGCAGATGCCACCCCTCCCCAGCTCCTGCCTCCCTGGCCCTGTGTAGCCATATCTCGAATCTCTCCTCTGTTCAGCGCACCTTCTTACAGCTCCAGGTTCTTGGACCCCTTCCCAGTCAGAATTGTTGAGGGACAGGGAGTCCCCAGAACCTGCAAAGCCCACAGTGGGCTCGGCTTGCTGAAGAACTGCCCCCCATCACATCTCTCAGCCTTTGTGAGCAACTGCGTACCCTGGGGTGACCCCTTTAGAGGCGGGTGAGATCGGAGTCCTTGAGGGGTGGGGGTGGCAGGTAGATACTCTAGGTAACATAGCTAACTGATTCTGATTTCTTTAACCTCATTGGATATATTACCTTGGTAACTCCTCATTGCATGCCTTCGAGGTACGACTAATGTTATCCCTGTTTAAGAGAGGAGGAAACTGAGGCCCTAACTTCAAATATGAGGATCCCTCTGAGAGTCAATCAGCATGGAGACGCCAGGGGACTGGGGCTTCTCAGCTGATGGCCAGCAAGCCCTATCCAGAGACCACTGGGCACAGACCTAAGGCCTCTCCCTGGCCAACTTTAAAGTGAGACCCCTAGGAGGGAGGAAAGCAGATCAAAGTTGAGTGGGACAAGCTGGTGGTCACAGACATGCTGCTCTGGCCTGGACCAGCTCAAGAGGCCCCAGCAGGGACACACATCTGCACATGTGCCTCCCCAGGGACCTTTGAGAATAAGGGGATTAGAGGTCACCAAGCAGCAAATGTGATTGCTAAAGGACCTCACTAAAAGAAGAGGATTAGCTGGGGATTTGGAGGAAGTTTCCACAAATCACTTTGGTTCCTGGTAGCAAAGATTACTTGGGGATCAGAAGAGGTCCCACTGGGCAAGGCAGAAAGAGACAAGTCATGGGATGCTTCCCTGAGGTTGCCAAGACCCTCCAGGGAGCCCAGGCTGAGGCTCAAGTCAGTGCTGGGGCCGTGGCTGACGAGCCACTCCCGGAGACTGGGCTCTGTGGGAAGGAGCCCTTCCTAGGAGCCCGATCCTGGGGCTAGTCCCCTCGCCCCTTGGCCTCACTTTCCTACCTGCCAGGTGAGATGCTGGAACCCACTCGGAGGCTCCAGCGCAGTGGGCAGGTGCCCCAGCCGGCAGGTAGTGGAGACTGGCTTTGATTCCTGGCTCCACTCCCACTAGTGGCTCCTCCCACCCGAGCCCACCTTTCATCCATATACGATGTGGATAACTGTTTCCTGCAGAAGGTCCTAAGGATGAAAATAAGGTGTTTAAGTGCTCCTCACTTGGCTATCATGGTGACAGCTCAGGTTAGTGTCACCCAAGGAGTGTCACCCAAGGGTCCTGCCCGCTCACAGTTTTGAAGTGACAGCCTGAGGAGGAGGGCTGTGGCTCCATGGCCCCATGCTGCCACCTGGAGGTCACAGGGAAGGGAATACAATGATAGAGATGGTGATGAAAATGAGCAACATGATGATGATGATAGTAGCCAATAGAGGCAAGTTCTTACCTAGGCACGACCTAACGCTTTATACGGTTTATCTCATCCAAGGACGAGATTCCAACTATCTTGTTAAATAAAGTGGCTCAGCTATTTATGTGGCCAGAGACATGACCTGTGTCATTCTATATAATACTTACAACGACCCTGTCAGAGAGAGATTTATTCTCTCTGCTAAATAGATACAGGGCAACAAGGTTCAGAGACGGTAAGTTACTTCCCAAGGTCACACAGCAAGTCAATGGCAGAGCTAAGATTGAAATTATATCTGTTTGAAGCCAAAACTCATACATGTCCCTCCACATCCTGTGCCTCCCCCAGAGATCTGGTTCCTCAACAGGCTCTGGGCCAGGGGACGGGTCTGGCAGGGAGAACAGGTGTGGCTGTGGAGGGAAGTTCAAGGGAACTCAAGAGCTGTGGTCCAGGAAGTATCCATGTTTGTCCCGGCTTCATGCTACCCTCCTTTTGCAAGGAGGCAGGTGATTGACCAGTATCAGCCAGATCCTGAGGGCAAGATCACAGCCTTGCAGACTTCAAAGCTATCCAGGCACTTTCCAAGCAAACATTCATGTTCACAAAGTCTATAGAAATGTAGATTCGCAGGCAGAACTCAGGAGGAAAAGTGCCATCTCCCATGATTAAGAAAACATTTCCATTTTTATCTGTATATTTCGTGTCTGCATGTTTTATATTTCTCCAATGCATTTAAAATATATTATTTTAGCCATGCACGGTGGCTCACGCCTGTAATCCCAGCACTTTGGGAGGCTGAGGCGGGCGGATCACAAGGTCAGGAGATCGAGACCATCGTGGCTAACACGGTGAAACCGCATCTCTACTAAAAATACAAAAAATTAGCTGGGCATGGTAGCGGGCGCCTGTAATCCCAGTTACTCAGGAGGCTGAGGCAGGAGAATGGCGTGAACTCGGGAGGCGGAGCTTGCAATGAGCCGAGATCATGCTAGTGCACTCCAGCCTGGGCGACAGAGTGAGACACCGTCTCAAAAAACAAAAACAAAAACAAAAACAAAAAAAATCATATCACATTGAAAGGACCCTCAGGGATTATCTGGCTCAAGGATAGCACTCAGTGACATATTCAGTGAAGGAAGAGAGAAAAGCTGGCCTGGGGAAACAGAGGCACAGAGAAGGGAGAGATGTTCTCAAAGTCACACAGCCACAGAATGGGGCCTGAAATGCAGGTCTGCAGACACCAGCCTGTTCTCTTCCTGCTCGGCTGAATGGCACCCATAATGGCTGCAGGGTCCACCCAGTGGGAGGAGAGGCCAGTGTGCCTGGTGAGATCATTGTGGAGCAGATGAGGACTTGAGAGCCGGGGCATAGCCCAGCCAGATTTGTGCTTTTGCCAAATAGCCAAGTCCTCTCCCATTTCTTCTGTTGGCTCTGAGAAGATCTGTCGGCTCTGAGAAGATCTGTCTGCTAGAGAGGGAGGGAGGGGCTGATCCTAGGCCTGGGCCTGTTATTCTTTCTTGAGTCATCTTTGCTGCCCTATCTCCTGAGTACTAGCAAGATCATCTGGTCCTCAGTTCTTTCACCTATCCCCACCCCGGAGGAGATGAGATGTGCTAGAAGTGAGCATCTGTCACTGCCCTCAGCCTCCTCCTGGGTTTCAGGAGGGTGATAGCCCCTCATTCAGCTACCATGGACCACACTGTGCACCAAAGACCGCGCTGGGTGCATTGACATTATCTTATTCAATTCTCACAGCAACCTCAAGAGGCAGTATTCCCAACTCCCTGCCTTTTAGATACACTTGATTTTTTCAAAACGGTTTTAGGTTCACAGCAAGGCTGAGCAGAAAGTACAGAGAGTTCCTGTATACCCTCTGCCCCCACATATGCACAGCCTCCCCGTGGCCAGCATCCCACACCAGAGTGGCACATGTGATAAAATCAGTGAGTCTATGTCTATACAGCATGATCACTCACAGTCCGAAGGTTTTTCTTCACTCTTGGTGACGTACAATCTGTGGGTTTGGACAAGTGGTAGTATTTTAAAATGCCCACTTGACAGAGGAGAGCAGCTAGGCCCCGAGGTTAGGGTCAGGGTTGAACAGCTGGGAGGTAGGTGGCAGGGATGGAGCCTTGATGGGTGGAGGAAAGGCTTCATGCTAACAAGCTCTCTCGGCCCCAGGACCCCATGGAAATGTCAATATTGTACCTGGTTTCCCAAATGAAAATCAAATAGGGCACATGGGTCTGCTTAATGGGTGATGAAGTTCCAGTGGCTCCAACAGAGGTAAAATTGATTCATATTTGTCAGGCTGGGAAACGGGAGAACTAGGCTCCAGGACCTCCTGGCCTCTTGCCTGGCAGCTCCTTTAGGCATATTTTTGGACAGGCCACACAGCTTCCTACTGAGGGCTCGCGAGGCAACAGGCGCAAGCTGGCCCCTGGAGATCAACCTGGGCAAGGCAGAGCTGCTGCTTTTGAGGTGCTCATAGCCTCGTGGAGTCACAGACGCATATGAGCTCGTTTTGGCCTGGAGTCAGCCCATGCTCACCGAGTTTTCTGCTTATTGCACTGGATGGACAGCATGGCATGGAAGAGTTTATAGGACTGAACAGGCTGGCACTTGAGACATTTCTGAGTTTTCCCCTTTTCTAGATGTGAGTTTACAGCTGGCCATTCCTACAGTGACTCATGAAAGCTGATGAGATATTTTGATATTGACGAGGTGACACAATTATTATTGAGATGGATCACTGTACCTTACAAAGGCACCATCCAGGTTTCCTGTCAATCTCTCTCACTCTCATCTCTAGACTCCTAGGCCCTCCTGGCAGGCAGTGCTGAAGCAGCCCTTCCCAGCCCAGGACAGCAGATGCTTAGCCCCTCTCGGGACTGGCCGGCTCTCCCTTGAGCAGGCACGCCTGGGCCAGGAGCTGTCTTCCTCTCCCAGAGCTGTGTGGGCCAATGGAAAGAGCATGGCTTTGGAGTACAACCAACCCGCACTCTGCTCCTTGTGTCTTCATGGCCTGGGGCAAGACCCTCCATTTCCTCATCTGAGCATTCTGGTATTAATCCTTGTAAGGGAGTTTAAGGGCTGGAGACAATGGAGCCTAATTCCTGTACATGACAGGTGCTCAAAAGCTGGTGGCTCCCATTCTGAGCTAAGTGAAGTTACCTGTGGCATGCTCTCACTCTGAAATACCTCCTGTCCAAAAATATGTCTACAGGGGCTGCCAGGCAAGAGGCCAAGGGGTCCTGGAGCCTAGTTCTCTCATCTCCCGGCCTGACAAATATGAATCAATTTCACCTCTGTTAGAGCCATTGCAACTTTATCACCCATAAAGCAGATCCGTGTGCCGTATTTGATTTTCATTTGGAAAATCAGGTACAATATTGACCTTCCCATGGGGCGCTGGGGCCAAGAGAGCTTGTTAGCATGACGCCCCTCCTCCACCCATCAAAGCCTCGGCAGCTCCTCACTTTCCACTCCTAGCCCAGTGGAGATTGGTGCTCTTCTCTTGCAGTATACTAGAGTCCTCTGGGGAGTTTATTAAATGCAGATTCTAAGTCCCCCTAAATTTACTAAATTGGACTCTGCAGAGGTAGGCCCAGGAAAGCATTTTCACCAACTTTCCCAGTGATTCTGGCTTGAGAATCATGCCCTTAGGACACCTACGGGGCACCTGCCTCACCGCCTCTCCAAGGCAAAGTCCAGGAACCAATGCTGGGAAGGCTTATGTGATTTAATAGAGAAGAAGAGGCTGGGAGAGGGAGAACAAAATTGTACTGTCCTTAACCCTTTACAGTGACAGGTACTGCTAGCTTGATGTAGAAACACATACTCTTTACTTTTTTTTTTTTTTCTGAGACAGAGTCTCACTCTGTTGCCCAGGCTGGAGTGCAGTGGTGTGATCTCTGTTCACTGCAGCCTCCGCCTCCTGGATTCAAGTGATTCTCATGCCTCAGCCTCCCGAGTAGCTGGGATTACAGGTGCCCGCCACCAGGCCCAGCTAACTTTTGTATTTTTAGTAGAGACAGGGTTTCATCATGTTGGCCAGGCTGGTCTTGAAGTCCTGACCTCAGGTGATCTGCCTGCCTTGGCCTCCCCAAGTGCTGGGATTTCAGGCAGGAGTCACGTTGCCCAGCCAGAAAAACATACTCTAGAGTCACACACCCATCAGTGAAACATCAGCTCAGCCCTGTTGCATATTTTAAAGTATACTAGCTGCATATTTTTCTCAGATTACTTCTCCTAGCTTTTAGTGTTTTCTCAACATTAAAATGGGAATTATAATATCTATTTCAAATAATTATCAATGAGATTATGAGATTCGTGCTGGAAATGCATAACATGGGGCTTGGCACAGAGTAGGTGTGCCTGTTGTCAATTTATTGCCTGTCAACTGCAAATCCACTCTTCTTTGCCCTACTTTGTAATACTGGAGCTGGACCCTGTTACTAATTCTCTTTCGTCAGCTGTTGCAATGTTACACTGTGTCAGTAGAGGGTGCTAGAGGGAAACTGCAAGGTATAGCAGAGGACCAGCTCCTCCTTCTGGCTCCTCCTGGACACTGCAAGGTAAAGCAGAGGACGAGCTCCTCCTCTTGGCTCTAGTGTGCCTTTTTTCTCCCACAGTGTGATTGTCCCAGCAGGGGGAAATCCAGTGGCGCTTTCTCCAGTGATTTTCCCCAGCATCCAGCAGAGGAGGCTCTTGTACTCCAGCTCCAGTCCACTGGCACCCCGGACCTTCTCCACTGCCCAGTGGTCTGCAGCCACACTCTCTCCCTCAAGGTGGGACTCTCATCCATGCTCTAACCTCCTCCTCTGGGTAATCTTCCCAGCCCTAGAGGTAGCAGGGCTACCTCTATAATAGTAAGTGCTTCCTGCACTTATTATTCCTGTATTCCTTAGAGTCCTCTTTTGCCCCTTTTAGAAGTTAACACCTTTTACTACTTCATAATATATATATTTTTTTTCTGAGATGGAGTTTTGCTCTTGTTGCCTAGGCTGGAGTGTGGTAGTGTGATCTTGGCTCACTGCAACCTCCGCCTCCTGGGTTCAAGTGATTCTCCTGCCTCAGCCTCCCAAGTAGCTGGGATTACAGCGACCCGCTACCACACCCGGCTAATCTTTGTATTTTTAGTAGAAACGGGGTTTCACCATATTGGGCAGGCTGGTCTCGAACTCCTGACCTCAGGTGATCCACCTGCTTCAGCCTCCCAAAATGCTGGGATTATGGCATGAGCTACCATGCCCGGCCTATAATTTTTTATATTACATTTTCCTTATTCAAATTGCTGGTGTGATTTTTGTCTCCTGACTGGACTCTGTCTGTTATATAGTAGGTGTTTTAAAATAATAGTTCACCTTCTCTCCACCTCCAGAAAAGCTTTTTTTTTTTTTTTTTTTTGAGTCTTGCTCTGTTGCCCAGGCTGGAGTGCGGTGGTGCGATCTCGGCTCACTGCAACCTCTGCCTCCTGGTTTCAAGCAATTCTCTTGCCTCAGCTTCCCAAGTAGCTGGGATTACAAGCTATGTTGCCACACCTAGATAATTTTCATATTTTAGTAGAGACGGGGTTTCACCATGTTGGTCAGGCTGGTCTCGAACTCCTGACTTCAAGCAATCTGCCAGCCTCAGCCTCCAAAAGTGCTGGGATTACAGGTGTGAACCACCGCACCTGGCCCAGAAAAGCATTTTTACATATGTCATTTAATGACAAGGGAAAATTACCACACACCGCCAGAAACTATGGCAGCTCTGGAGTTTGCAACCCCAACTTGAACAAATGACTTCCTCCTTTGAGGGCTCGCAGAGTGTGACCATTGCATACTTCCTGGTCATGGTCTGGGGAAAACCATGAGGAGTAAGGGTGAGGAAATCAGCAAAGCCTCACCCAGCATTTTAGTGGTGGGCATATTGGAAGGCACCAAGGTCTTCTGTAGAAACCATGCAGTACGGACAGATGACATTTGGAGAAAGACTCATAAACACAGACCAAACACGGGTGATAAGAAACAGGATTCAAGTGGCAGAAAGCCCAGCACCTGTAGTCCCAGCTACTCGGGAGGCTGAGGCAGGAGAATGGCGTGAACCCAGGTGGCGGAGCTTGCAGTGAGCCGAGATCGCGCCACTGCACTCCAGCCTGGGTGACAGAGCGAGACTCCATCTAAAAAAAAAAGAATAATGTGGAACTCAGGAAAGACTCAACAAGCTCAGCCACTATGTCCCCAGCCATGTTAAACCGTGAGCACTTGTGACCTGTGGGGGAGGTTCTAAAGCCTCAACCCATAGCTTCCCTTTCCACCCTTTGTAGTTTGTGGGGTGTACATATAGGCAGTAAAATGTGCTAAGAAGAACCCATCTGCATTGTTCTTTAGAGATATCTGAACCCTACAGACCCCAGCAAGAGGGCAAGATTCTGTTGCACAAAGTGGGCAAAACCAGGTGAACTGCCCCCTGCCACCAATAGAAAGTCAGCTCCCCCAGGCTTCTCTCTGGCTGGTTTTGTTACTTTCTCCTACCTTGGCAGCTGAAATGGAGGCAGCCCTTGGCTGTAACATCCATGGTTGATGGCCTGGCTGTGTGGTCCTGCCTCGCGGCTGCGTGGAACTGAATGTGTGGACAGGGATGTGCATAATCATCCTGGGTGGAACCCCAGGGTCCCAGTGCTGGACCCTGGGGTCCTAGAGCTGCTCCTACCTGGTATGGATATCCTGCTCTCCACCTGGGCCTAGGACTCCCAACTATAAGTCATAAGCCATGGCAGGGTCTCAGAGAACAAGGGAATTAGAAGGAAGGACTTTAGGGGTCAGGCCAAACCCACAATTGGAGAAGCTGACTAAGGTCAGACAGAGAGGCAGTTGCAAGACTAAGATTACAACCGAGGCCCTGCCCTACTCACACTATGGGTTAATGTTGCCAATTTAGCCATAGGGAGGGCCTGACTTCCGGCAAACTCCTGGCTTGCAGTGCTGAGCAGCAGGGCTGAGCAGTAATTAGTGGAGATGACCACTAGGTGTCACTGTCGCACCATTATCTGCGGCTGCACAGTGGCCAGATTTTTTTTTTTTTTTTTTTTTTTTTTTTTTTTTTTTTTTTTTTAACCTCCCCAAAACATGTGAACGCTGGCTTAACCGCCAACCTCAGGTAGGTGAAAGGGGTTTTTAATTTTCATTGTCACAAGCATCATAAAAGAAGCAGCAACTCCCAGGCTAAAGAAGGGGAGGACTGTTTTGACTTACTGCCCCAGAGAGCATGGGTCTCAGCAGAGCTGCTGTTGCTGAATTGGAGGGGCTTTTTTCTGGCTGTTAATTGCTGCCCCTCGCTGATGATTGCGGAGTAGAATCTGTTAGGACGTGGATCTCCAAGTCTGTGACATGGAAGGAACCTTAGAAATCTGCAAGTCCAGCCCCTTCATTTTTGGAGAAGGAAGCCCAGAAGAGAAGGCCATTTCCCTAAGGCACACAGCTTGATGGAGGCAGAACCGGGACTTGAACCTTAGACTCCAGAGTTCTCACCCAGTGCTCTGTTCTCACCCAGTGCTCTGTCCACTCCCCCGTGGTGCGTATCTTTACACCACATGTGCTCATTCATTCACTCCCTTAACATCTATTGAGCACTTACTCCAGGCTCAATACATGGGTAGTGAAGTTGCAATGGCTCTAACAGAGGCGAAATTGATTTTATTTGTCAGGCTGCGAAATGGGAGAACTGGGCTCTAGGAAAGCCCTTTAGGCGTAAGCCATGGCAGAGTCTCAGAGAACAAGGGAGTTAGAAGGAAAGAATTTAGGGGCCAGGCAAAACCCCCAACTGGAGAATCTGACTAATGTCAGACAGAGGCAGTTGCAAGACTGAGAATATAACCTAGGCCCTGCCCTACTCACACTGTGGGTTAATGTTGCCAATTTAGCCATAGGGAGGGCCTGACTTTGTGGTTGAATGGAAATGGAAACTCTTAAAGAGGCAAGATGACGTGGCATGTCAGTGACCAGAGATCACAAGTGGGGCCAGTTTCCTTCCTTTTGGTCCAGAGTACTTGTCAAGCTCATCCAATCTTTATGCAAACAACAGCAAAAGTGAGACTAGGATTCAGACCAAGATGAAGTCAGGTGAAGATGATGGAGCTGTGGCAGCTTGGATGGTGCATGCTCCTGCTGGGCTGCCTGGATGCTCCACCTTCTGTGGCCCACACTGGATACTGATTGAATGGGCAGGAATCTTTGGACCTTGGAGGATTTGAAGCTGCAACAATTCTGACCATCGGGGACAGTGTTTTACCACATTCCACTTGGTCAAAGAGCCTATCCTCCAAGGCAGAAAAAAGAAAATGTTTTTTAAGGGAACAGAGAGGTGTTTAAAATAAGAGTGTTTAAGTATAGAAAAGAGAAAGATAACATTACCCTGGACTTAACATTGTCCTCTCAAAGGCAGTCATTTTATCGTCTTGCCTGTCTCTTCTCTGAGTGGGTATATCACTGACACAGCTGCAAAATTTTCCATGTCGGCCGGGCGTGGTGGCTCACGCCTGTAATCCCAGCACTTTGGGAGGCCGAGGCGGGTGGATCACCTGAGGTCGGGAGTTCCAGACCATCCTGGCCAACATGGTGAAACCCCTGTCTTCACTAAAAATACAAAAATTAACTGGGCGTGGTGGCTGGCGGGCGCCTGTAATCCCAGCTACTCGGGAGGCTGAGGCAGGAGAATCACCTGAACCCTGGAGACAGAGGTTGCAGTGAGCTGAGATCGTGCCACTGTACTCCAGCCTGGGCAATGAGAGCAAAACTGTCTCGGAAAACAAAAACAAAACAAAACCAAAATTGTCCATGTGTCTAACCACCTTTCACATGACCCTTCTCCTATGATCCAGAGTTTCTCTGAGATTTAGAAGTCCTCTGGGGGCATTTGGTGGCCTCAGAAAGGATGGTTTAGAGTCTGGCTAGAGATGGCCCATCTGTGCAGCCCCAAGCCCGTCCACCCTCCCCTCCTCTGTCCTCCACCAGGCGGCAAGGTCGCGCCCATTACCCATTCTGCACCCGTCTTCTCAGATACAGCTATCACCTGCTTTGCTGCAGCCGGGTGCCACTGCTGTACTCATTATTGACCATTCTGCTGAGATATTAAGCACTTTGGCTTGGCTGGAGGATTGTTAATCAACAACCTTGTCAGAGTGATGGATTCTTTTAAGATTATTGCTTAATTAGCTTGTTTAGAGGTAAAAATCAATGAGGACATCAGTTCTCTGGGAACTGGGAGGTGGTAGAAAGGGATCTTGGTGACATCCCAGGGAGCAGAGTGTGGTTGTGGTGGGACGGGTAAGAAGCCTCTGAACACAGTAGGCCTTAAGCTTGCATTCATTAGGGATCTCACAGTCACCCTGGTTGGTGCAGTCTAGAGAATTGCCACCAGTCAGCGAAGTTGCAAAAGCGGTGATTCCTGAAATGTCACCCAAGGACTATGTGCCGTCAGCTGGGGAGCTTTAAAATCACAGATCCCCAGGGCCAGCCCCAGACCTTCTGGATTAGGATCTCAGACAAAATTGTAAACAAGTCACTCAAGGCAATTCCTACATATATAAATGTTGAAACTCACAGCCTCAGAAGTCTGAGATGAACAGAGGTAAACAATTCTGATGGCGTTGGGCAACTAAACATTTCCACTGGGAATGGATTTCACGTGGCTGGGCTGTATCGCCAATACTCCTACCAGCACCTGTGGCCCCAGTCTTCTTCCTTCTGTTTTAGTCTTCCTATTTCTGTCGTATCCTCTGTCTCTCCCATCTAATTTGTCTGTATTGCTCCTGGCCATGCCTCATCTATCTGTTCCTCGTCTGTCTAAAGTTTCCTCCCTTCCTCAGGTCCCCATTTCCATCTTTTTGTCTTTCTATCTCTCCTTCCATTTTCGTCCTCTCTGTGCTGGCTGTTGTCTCTTGGCACCTGGCAGCTTTTACACCACTTTCTATATTCTCTCCTATTTGGCAGGGGCTGGAAGCCTGAGAAATACCCTTGCCAGGACAGATCCAGGTACATTTTAAGTCCCACCCTTGAGATACATGTGGGTGACATTTGGAAGGCAGAAGAGAGGCAGAAGGCATATGATTCTGCCTCCAGCAAGTTGTGCAGTCAGGTGGGTTTCAGCAGATGTGAGGTTTTGTCTTGCAAGTCACTGGTGTTAGGCTGCAGGAGGTCAGGACCATTACTGGCAGCTCCCTGTAGTGTCTGGCTTGGGTAGCAGTAGCAGCTTCTTGGTTCTCTTAAGGCTAGTGGTGAGCCTGGGAGTCAGTGGTGACCTTCCTGGCCTTTGCTCCTTTAACCAATCCAACAGCTTTTTAAGTGCCTCATTCCTTAGACTAGATCCCTTCCTTCTTGAAATACCTTGAGTGGTTTTTTTTGTTTTTTTTTTTTTTTCCTGACTAGACCTGGCTGATACACTTTGCTCCTTCCTCACCATTTAAACTCTTTCGCTAGTCTGTATGCACATGTAGCTGCTGTCTGGAACCCAGCTGCCCTGGAGTGAGTGTGTGTGTGCACACGTGCTGTCAGATGGCTACCTCACTGGGGTAACCCCCAGCTCCAGGGAAGCAGATCAGTCCTTTCCTCTGCTCTACCGGGCACCAGCCTAAAGTCTAGTTGCTGGAGAGGCCACAGTAACCGAATCAGGGGACTTATGCTTCAATCTTGTATCTGTCACTTCTTTTTTTTTTTTTTTATACTTTAAGTTCTAGGGTACATGTGCACAACGTGCAGGTTTGTTACATATGTATACATGTGCCATGTTGGTGTGCTGCACCCGTTAACTCATCATTTACATTAGGTATATCTCCTAATGCTATCCCTCCCTGCTCTCCCCACCCCATGACAGGCCCCAGTGTGTGATGTTCCCCATCCTGTGTCCAAGTGTTCTCATTGTTCAATTCCCACCTATGAGTGAGAACATGCGGTGTTTGGTTTTCTGTCCTCGTGGTAGTTTGCTGAGAATGATGGTTTCCAGCTTCATCCATGTCCCTACAAAGGACATGAACTCATCCTTTTTTTATGGCTGCATAGTATTCCATGGTGTATATGTACCAAATTTTCTTAATCCAGTCTATCATTGGTGGACATTTGGGTTGGTTCCAAGTCTTTACTATTGTGAATAGTGCCGCAATAAACATACATGTGCATGTGTCTTTATAGCAGCATGATGTATAATCCTTTGGGTATATGCCCAGTAATGGGATGGCTGGGTCAAATGGTATTTCTAGTTCTAGATCCTTGAGGAATCACCACACTGTCTTCCACAATGGTTGAACTAGTTTACAGTCCCACCAACAGTGTAAAAGTGTTCCTATTTCTCCACATCCTCTCCAGCACCTGTTGTTTCCTGACTTTTTAATGATCACCATTCTAACTGGTGTGAGATGGTATCTCATTGTGGTTTTGATTTGCGTTTCTCTGATGGCCAGTGATGGTGAGCATTTTTTCATGTGTCTGTTGGCTGCATAAATGTCTTCTTTTGAGAAGTGTCTGTTCATATCCTTTGCCCACTTTTTGATGGGGTTGTTTGATTTTTTTCTTGTAAATTTGTTTAAGTTCTTTGTAGATTCTGGATATTAGCCCTTTGTCATATGAGATTGTAAAATTTTTCTCCCATTCTGTAGGTTGCCTGTTCACTCTGATGGTACTTTCTTTTGCTGTGTAGAAGCTCTTTAGTTTAATTAGATCCCATTTGTCAATTTTGGCTTTTGTTGCCATTGCTTTTGGTGTTTTAGTCATGAAGTCCTTGCCAACTATGTCCTGAATGTTATTGCCTAGGTTTTCTTCCAGGGTTTTTGTGGTTTTAGGTCGAACATGCAAGTCTTTAATCCATCTTGAATTAGTTTTTGTATAAGGTGTAAGGAAGGGATCCAGTTTCAGCTTTCTACATATGGCTAGCCAGTTCTCCCAGCACCATTTATTAAATAGGGAATCCTTTCCCCATTGCTTGTTTTTGTTAGGTTTGTCAAAGATCAGATGGTTGTAGATGTGTGGTATTATTTCTGAGGGCTCTGTTCTGTTCCATTGGTCTATATCTCTGTTTTGGTACCAGTACCATGCTGTTTTGGTTACTGTAGCCTTGTAGTATAGTTTGAAGTCAGGTAGCGTGATGCCTCCAGCTTTGTTCTTTTGGCTGAGGATTGTCTTGGCAATGTGGGCTCTTTTTGGTTCCATATGAACTTTAAAATACTTTTTCCCAATTCTGCGAAGAAAGTCATTGGTAGCTTGATGGGGAGGGCATTGAATCTATAAATTACCTTGGGCAGTATGGCCATTTTCACAATTGATTCTTCTTATCCATGAGCATGGAATGTTCTTCCCTTGTTTGTGTCCTCTTTTATTTCGTTGAGCAGTGATTTGTAGTTTTCCTTGAAGAGGTCCTTCACGTCCCTTGTAAGTTGGATTCCTAGGTATTTTATTCTCTTTGAAGTAATTGTGAATGGGAGTTCACTCATGATTTGGCTCTCTGTTTGTCTGTTATTGGTGTATAAGAATGCTTGTGATTTTTGCACATTGATTTTGTATCCTGAGACTTTGCTGAAGTTGCTTATCAGCTGAAGGAGATTTTGGGCTGAGATGATGGGGTTTTCTAAATATACAATCATGTCATCTGCAAATCAGGACAATTTGACTTCCTCTTTTCCTAATTGAATACCCTTTATTTCTTTCTCCTGCCTGATTGTCCTGGCCAGAACTTCCAACACTATGTTGAATAGGAGTGGTGAGAGAGGGCATCCCTGTCTTGTGCCAGTTTTCAAAGGGAATACTTCCACTTTTTGCCCATTTAGTATGATATTGGCTGTGGGTTTGTCATAAATAGCTCTTATTATTTTGAGATACGTCCCATCAATACCTAGTTTATTGAGAGTTTTTAGCATGAAGTGCTGTTGAATTTTGTCAAAGGCCTTTTCTGCATCTATTGAGATAATCCTGTGGTTTTTGTCTTTGGTTCTGTTCATATGATGGATTACTTTTATTGATTTGTGTATGTTGAATCAGCCTTGCCTCCCAGGGATGAAGCCCACTTGATCGTGGTGGATAAGCTTTTTGATGTGCTGCTGGATTCGGTTTGCCAGTATTTTATTGAGGATTTTTGCATCAATGTTCATCAGGGATATTGGTCTACAATTCTCTTTTTTTGTTGTGTCTCTGCCAGGTTTTGGTATCAGGATGATGCTGGCCTCATAAAATGAGTTAGGGAGAATTCCCTCTTTTTCTATTGATTGGAATAGTTTCAGAAGGAATGGTAGCAGCTCCTCTTTGTACATCTGGTAGAATTCGGCTGTGAATCCGTCTGGTCCTGGACTTTTTTTGGTTGGTAGGCTATTAATTATTGCCTCAATTTCAGAGCCTGTTATTGGTGTATTCAGGGATTAGACTTCTTCCTGGTTTAGCCTTTGGAGGGTGTATGCATCCGGGAATTTATCCATTTCTTCTAGATTTTCTAGTTTATTTGCATAGAGGTGTTTATAGTATTCTCTGATGGTAGTTTGTATTTCTGTGGGATTGGTGGTGATATCCCCTTTATCATTTTTTATTGCATCTATTTGATTCTTCTCTCTTTTCTTATTAGTCTTGGTAGCAGTCTATCAATTTTGTTGATGTTTTCAAAAAACCAGCTCCTGGATTCACTGATTTTTTGAAGGTTTTTTTGTGTCTCTATCTCCTTTAGTTCTGCTCTGATCTTAGTTATTTCTTGCCTTCTGGTAGCTTTTGAATGTGTTTGCTCTTGCTTCTCCAGTTCTTTTAACTGTGATGTTAGGATGTCACTTTTAGATCTTTCCTGCTTTCTCTTGTGGGCATTTAGTGCTATAAATTTCCCTCTACACTCTACTTTAAATGTGTCCCAGAGACACACTGTATCTGCCACTGCTAATGGCATGGCCACCTCTTCTCGGGGCCTCAGAAATCTCATCTGGACACCTTGCTTCCATCATACGATGGCTTTAGTAGCAGAAGCTCTAGGGAGCCTGGGGGGCAGGTGGGATTTGTGCCTGAGCCTTTGTCATTTGCTCTGTGAGGGATCCCACCCCTCCATCTGGGCACCAGCCATGGTCCTTGCTCACCTCCTCATCTTGCAGAGACAAAGCAACCCATCCCAGGACCCAAGTGTAAGAAGCTGGCAGGGGCAGGGTTTGTCTGAGATCGTCAGCCTGTCAAGCCCGCCCTGCTCTGGAGCCCTTTCTCAACTTTGGCTGAAGGACATGGGGAGTCCCAAGGAGATGCAGCCTCGGGGTGAGCTGGCTGGTCTGCCCTGTGCTGGGGCTAAGGATCAAGGTCCTGCCCTTCCCTGGGGAGACTGGAATATAATCTCCCCCAGCTCCAAGCAGGGAAGCCCAGGCCCCTCTGCCGTGGCCACCTGGAGCCTTTCTGAGCCTTCAGAGCCCCAGCATGACAGGGAGAATCAGTTTTTCAATCAAGCAATTGAGGACCCTGCCCCTTTAAATCCTGTTAAAGAGAAAATTAATGACTGGTCCCTGAGCAAAGCCCTGTGAGGGAAGAAATTGCCCTGTATCCTGAGAACACCAGTCCAGCCTGTGCAGACCCCTGGGGCTGCTCACCACTGACCCTAGGCCTGCAGAATCATCCATTTCTGCTTGTCCTCCAGGGTGCAAGCAGGCCCAAAAGGAGCTTGGAATGACATGTGGTTGTGGCAGCAAATTGTGCAGGTGGGCTGGACTTTCTACCTGGATGCCTGGGTGAAGGTCATCTTTGAATCCTGCAGGAAATGGCTTATTCATTCTTATGGATTTTCCCACTTATCAGAGTCTCTGTTGACCTGCCAGCCCCAGTTTTTTTGCATGCAGAAAATCTTATGCAACAGGGCAGTCTGACAGCCTAGGATTCAGGATCTTTAGATATTAGCTTTAACTCCAAAGTCCATGCTCACAAACATGGGCATCTATCCTGGCTAACCAAGCAGGGGACTGGGAGGCAAAGTGACCTGTCCCAAACTTTGCTGTGTGTCTGACCCTCTCGCTATTCAAAAGCATTAGCAAGAGGGGTTCAACTCCTTAGGCAGGTAGCTATTCTACTTGAAATGACTGTGGAGGCTTTACAACAGTCCCTGTGGATGAGGTCACTTGGGCCTGTTTGGTACTTGTATACAGCATGCCATCACTGCCGAGCACTGCCCTTGCTCCTGGCATGGGTGTGTGTGTGATGATGCAGCCCTGTCCACACCATCCTGTCCTCCGACCGTGCCACTCAGAAAGTCACACTCAGCAAGCTTCCCACCTTCCTGTCCTTTTGACACACCCATTTGCAACGATTCCCCTACTGGGTTGATGCATCCAGAAATGAGCTTTCCAACTGCAAATTCTTCTGAGCGGGATCTGGCCCAGTTATGCTGTGGAATCTCTTCCATCCTCTGTGGGCCTCACCTTTTTGAGACACCCAGTGACCGCACCATGGATGAGGAGAGAGTGAGGGAAGCGTCTGCCTTGCTGGGTACTTTTCCTCTTCCCCAAATGTATTTTTAAGACAGAATATGAATGAGAGACCTTTATGGGAAACATGTTTTATTTTTGCCATTTAGCTGTGAAATCATCAGGATCCAGACATAAGATAGTGTAATTATTCTGCAAACACCCAGTGGACAGCTCTTGTGTCACCCATAGCACCCGAGGGTGGTCAAAGTGGCTCATTCTGGCTCTTCCAAGAAATGAATCCAACTGGTGACAGGGGACTCAGAGACAACTTCTCTTCTCCTTTCCCACAGGGAGACATCTCCTGCTTCCTTTTCCAGGGCAACGTAGGCTGAATACATCCCAAAGTGCTCAGATGAGCTGCTTGGTGGCCACAGGCTTAACTGGGCCTGGGCCAGCCAAGGACCGAACCCAGGCTGTTGGGAGACAGCTTGGACTCTGTTTCATGCAGGGCTGGTTTAGATTTATCACAACCACCATACTGGGCAGCACAGCCTCTTAGAATGAGAGCCAGATTCTTGAGTGATCACTGGGAGCTTGTCCTAGAGAAAGACACGGGGGTGCAAATGCAGAGGGCCAAGGGTGAGTAAAGAAACTCCTTCCTTTGAGTGACCATGGAAGTGGGGCCCCATTCCAAAGATGCTGTTCTGGATCATCCCACAGTAAAGGAAGCACTGGCACTTCCTGCTGGCAAGGCTGACAGACCCCAACGTGCCCATGGCCCCTTAATGGATGACCCTACCCCATTCTTCAAAATTCCTTAAAGGGCACCCCCCCACCTGTCCTGCCCCAAGCTTGAGTTCATATCATAGCCCATTTTAGCACCTTGAGGGCTGGCACTGGAGTGGAGGGAAACTTGGGGGAGAGATGTTCCTCCCATCTCCAGGCAGGTTAGAAGGGCTGAGGCCAGGGGCTGCTATAGTAACAACAGCCCTGAGCTCTGTCCCATCCAAGCTCCAGATGGCTAGCTTTGGACTTCTGCAGAGGAGTGGTTTTTCTCAAGTGCAGGGGGCTTGGAATAAAGTGACATTCGTGCATAGTCATGTTTTCTGCAATAATCAGCCAGCTGCCCTACCCATGGGGTAAAGAGGCCTCAACTCTTCTTCCCTGCCTCCCTCCACCTCTCTTGTCTCTCAGACTACTTGCTAGTTTGCCTATTTTTTTTTCCATGAAAACTCAGTCCAAGATACATGGTTAGAAAATTCAAAGAGTACTACAAGGCACGAAGGAAAAATAGCAGGTTCTTGTCCCATTTCTATCCAAATTCCCCTCCCTAAACTCTTTCTTCTGATGTTTACCTCCATATTTCTAGGTAATGTGCTTATGCAGTTAATTCTTGATTTGTCAATTTTAAATGCCTATTGACTTCTTATGATGCAAGATGGGGTGGGGTTGCTTCTAACCCCCTTTCATGTCTACATCTTCCCTCCTTCTGATATATTTATGTCACATTTTTGTTAAATCAATATTCCATTTGTATTTTATTACAATTATATATGTACTGTTCACTGCTGAGTGAAAAAATACTCTAGGATCACATTTTCTCTCTTCTGTAACTCTTTATTCTTCCAGGAGTTAATAACTACCTCACTTTTTTGTCTGCTTAGTTTAAGTCATTATCCTACTAATTCTTCCAAAGCTCTCCAGCAGAATTTCAAAATCCCTCTGAACATTATTTTTTCTATAATTAAGCAATCTGATCAAAAATTGCTCCCATTTTCCCCAAAGGCCACCCCTCCAGCTCCTCTCGGAATGGCTCACTCTCTTGCTCTGCTGCATAGCGCTGGTCCTTGGACTTCCCTGTCTCTGTCTAGTGTTGGATCTTCTGTTTCCCGGATTCCAACTCTTCCTCCTCCTTGGTTTATGCCCTTGGAGTGTACATGTCGGTTTCCCAGTTGGATACATTTTTCTTCCAAAGCCAGCTCCAGAAGGCTGGACACCCTGGCATCTCAAGGTGCCTGGTAACCACCAGGTGTATGCTTGCCAATGGTGTTGAGTGTTTTCACATCACCAGAGGCACATCCAGACTCACAACTCTCAACTCAGAAGTATAGGAGAGTTTAACTTGAACTCTGACAGTTCCATCTGCCCTGGGGTGTCAGTCTTCAACCGAACATCTAGCCAGGTCTCTCGAAAAGAATTTCTTTTGATGAACAGAATGAGATTGGAGAGATGGATTTACTGGGCTAGAAGTAGACTCATCCTGCAGAAAATGGTTGTTGGTCTCAGTAAGACCAGGGCCACTGTTGTCATATTTCACCTAAATCCTGCAGAATAGGAGAAGGTGGCCCTTTCCTCAAGAAACTGTATTTTTATACAGTGGGAAATTGTTATAAATGACAATTTTGTTAGAATAAGGCATTTTACTGGCATATTGATAGATCAACATGGATGTAGATGACATTAGCTAGACAAACTCTCAGCAGGGTGTGATTTGCCGTGTATTAAACCTCTAGACTCTGAAATCAATTAAAATCAATACAGCCTCAAGTGTCCAAGGAGCACAGAGCAATGAGTTAAGTGTTAGCATTCTTTCAAGTATGAACTTTATATTTAAACATATTTTAACATATTTTAACATAGGTATTGCCTGCAATGTGACAACAAGGCATACACTTTGTTTAAAAGAAATATATATGATGGGAAGAGAGGAAGAGGAGTTCATCCCAGTTGCATATACCTATATCCCAATCTGCTAGGTCAGAGGAGAGCAGATGGGTTGAAGATGAGCCAGAGAGAGGAACAGAAGTATTCTTACAACAAAAGTATACCTCAACTTGCCCGGTGAGTCCAAGGGCAGATAAAAGACCTCTTGTACACAGTTTTGTAGGGAGTGACCTGGAAACCAAGTAGACTGGTGATGGAGCTCCAATAACCCTCATCTCTGGGAGAAGCTCGCTTAACTCAGGACAAAGACTTTGCTCGCTCCAGGGACACTTTGTAACACGGAGGATCAAGTGAGCAAGGAGAGGGACTTCTCTGGATCGAATCCTGGCTAACGATAAAAGTCTCTTTGCTGACCTCAGAGTGTTGGAACTCCTAGAAGAAACTTTGTAATAGCAAAGTAAGGGAATATTGGATAGAGTTGAAGTGACCAGGACACTTTCAACTTTTTCAAAAAAGTGAGGGAAATTTTCAAATTTTTCAAAAAAGTGAGGGAAAAATAGGCCTTCATAAGATAATATGGGTCATGATGTATTAGAGATAATAACAAGATAATATTAACTACCTGCCTTCCAGTACACCAAAGGGGAAGAAAATAGAGAATAGCTAAAATAGCAGGAAGACTAGGATGTAAGCTAATACTAACAAATGCTAGGATGAGAACAAAACAAAGGAAGGTATAAACCTGAAAGAATGATTTATTTCGGTTATTTGGGAGAAAGTTACCAACTAGTTTCTCCAGGGTAGGTGTTTCGCTTTGTGCTAAGGAAATAGCAACAAACAAGACATACCCAGGCTTATAGTCTAGCAGAGAATACTGACATCAAGCAAGTAATGAAAAGTGTGTTAACTCAGCCAGCTACAAATAGAAGTGAACTTCCTCAACCTGGCAAATGGTATCTATGAAAAACTCACAGTGATCATCATATTTAATGGCAAAGGATTGGGTGTTTTCCCCCAAGATCAGGAACACAAGGTTGTCTGCTTTGTACACTTCTATTCGGCATTGTATTAGAGGTTCTAGCCAGACAATTAGGCAAGAAAAAGAAATAAAAAGCCTCTATATTGGAGTGGAAAAATAAAACTTTATTGCAGATTACATGACTTTTGAATATATAAAATTCTAAGGAAGCCCTTTAAAAATATTGGAACTAATAAACAAGTTTAGCAAGGTTGCAGGATATAAGATCAATATAAAAATAATTTTTATTGCTGTACACTAGCAATGAAAATCTGAAAATAATATTAACAATTTTATTTAAAATTGCATCCCAAACTACAATAGTTAGGAATAAATTTAACAAGGAAAGTGTAAGACTTCTACACTGAAAACTGTAAATCATTGTTCAAAAAAATTAAAGAAGATATAGAAAAATGAAGAGACGCATGGAACAAAAGATTTTATATTGTGAAGATGGCAATATTCCCCAGATTGACCTTTAGATTTAATGTAATCTCTATCAAAATCCCAGAAGCTGATAAATTGATTCTAAAATTTATATGTAAATGCAAGGAACCCAGAAGAGCCAAAATAGTCTTGAAAAGTAAAATAAAGTTGGAAAACTCACACTTCCTAATTTCAAAAGTTACTATAAAATTGTAGCAATCAACAAAGTGTGATACTGGCATAAGATACACACATAAATCAATTGAACAGAAAGGAACGTCCATAAATACATTCTTATATTAAATTGATTTTTGAAAAGGGTTCCAAGACAAAGAAACAGGAGAATGAATAGTTTTTTCAGCAACTGGTGCTGGGACAAATGAATGAATGCAAAAGAATGAAATTAGAACGTTACTTCACACCATATAAAAAATGATCTCAAAATGGATCAAAGACCTAAATGTAAGAGCTAAACTATAAAACAGAATAAATAGTTTGACCTTGGGTTGGGCAATGATTTCTCAGCTATACCACCAAAAATATGTGACAAAAGAAAACAATAGATAAATTAGACTCCATCAAAATTAAAGACTCATATGCTACAGATGATGGCATCAAAAACTGCAAAGACAACCTGCAGAAGGGGAGAAAAATTTTGCAAATCACATATATAAGGAATTCGTATCTACAATATACAAAGAACATCTATAACTCCTCTGTAGTAAAAATATAAGTAACCCAGCTTAAAAATGGACAAAGAACTAAATGAACATTTCGCCGAAGATATAAAATAACCCACAAGCACTGAAAAGATGCTCAAAATCATTAGTCATCATGAAAATGCAAATCAAAACCACAGTGAGATATCACTTCACACTCCCTAGGATTGCTATAAAAGACAGACAATGACAAGGGTTGCTGAGGATGTGGAGAAAATGGAATTCTCATTTGCAGCTGGTGGGAATGTAAAATGGTGTAGCTGCTTTGGAAAACAGTTTGGTGGTTCCTCAAAAATTTACAAATAGAATTTCCGTATGATCCAGCAGTTCCACTCATAACTATACACCCAATTGAAATAAAAACATATGTCCCCCCAAAAACCTGTGCACAAACATTCATAGCAGGATTATTAATGACAGTCAAAACTAGAAACAACCCACATGTCTATCAACTGAGGAATAGATGAAAAAAATGGGGTAAAGCCACAATGAAATATTATATGGCACTTAAAAGGAATGAAGTACTGATACACGCTACAACATGGATGAATCCTGACAGCATTACGCTAAGTGAAAGAAGCCAGTCATAAAGGACCACATGTTGTATGAATCTAATCATATGAAATGTCCAGAATAGGCAAACTTACAGATTCAGAAAGTAGATTAGTGGTTGCCTCAGGCTAGAGGGTGGGACACAATTGGGGAGCAACTGCTGTGGGCATGCTAGATGGGCATGGGGTTTCTTTTTTGTGGTGATAAAAATGTTCTAACAATCATATTGTGGTGATTGTTGCACACCTCTGACTACGCTAAAAACCATTGAACTCTATACTTTAAATGAGCAAACTCTACAATGTGTGAATTATATCTCAATATATTTCTTTAAAAGAAGATGGGCTACAACCAAGTGTGTTGAATGTTATGACTGGGGAGGGGTGATATGTGAGTGAATAATATGGGAACCCATAATATGGGAACCCAACTGGGCTAAGACATAAAGGATCAGGAGTTTGGTGACTGACAGCCAAGACAGAGCAGACAGTAAGGCCAAAGGCTTCAGGCTGGGAAAAGCATGGAAAATAGAAGGAAGTAAAGGTGTAATGGTGTGGTTGGAGTAGAGAGCAGGAAAAAGAGGGACAAGTTGTGGTTAGATGGTGGGCAG